>NC_000012.12:47157097-47308612 GCF_000001405.40 Homo sapiens
GTACACAGAGAGCATTTCCTCATTGTCTAACACAGTATGGTTAGACTGTGTTAGGAATGGGTTTCTCTATATAATTTTTCCTGTAGGTAGAGCTTACCCCTGAACACATAAAAAATCCCATCTTGTTAATTATATTAATTACAAAATTAATTCACATTCATTGGTGAAAATTTGGAATATACAGAATTATAAAGACAGAAACCATCTGTGGTTGGGTGGGATGGCTCACACCTGTAATCTCAGTACTTTGGGAGACCAAGGCAGGAAGATGGCTTGACACTAAGAGGTCAAGAGTAGTCTGGTCAACATAATGAGACCCTGTCTCTGTAAGAAACTTTAAAAATTGGCCAGGCATGGTTGTGTGTGCCTGCAATCCTACCTACTGGGGAGGTTGAGGCAGGAAGGTCACGTGGCTGCAGTGAGCCATGATAAAGCCACTGTACTTCAGCCTAGGCGACAGAGCAAGGCCCTGTCTCTTCAAAATATTATATTGAAATATTCCAATTTAAATTTTTTTCTAATTTTTTTCATTGTGGAAATATATGTAACATAAAATGTATCATCTTAACCATTTTTTAATGTATAGATCAGTGTAAAGGTGTGTTAAATACACCCATAATGTGCTACTATCACCAGGATCCATCTCTGTAACTATTTTAATCTTGTAAAACTGAAACTCTGTACCTGTTACAGAATAACTCTCCATTCCCCACTTCTGCTAGTTCCTGACAACCAGTATACCACTTTCTGTCTCTATGATTTTGACTTATAAGTATCTCAAATAAATGGAATCAGTATTTGTCTTTTGGTAGCTGGCTTGTTTTACTTAACACAATATCCTCAAGTTCATCCATGTTGTAGCATGTGTCAGGATTTCCTTCCTTTAAAGGTTGAATAATTTTCAATTGTATGTATGTACCACATTTCACTTATCTATTTATTTGTTGATGAATATATTTGTTGATGAATAATAGGGTTACTTCCACATTTTACCTGTTATGAATTATGCTGCTATGAACATGGCTATACAAACATTTCTTTGAATCTCTGCTTTCAATTTTTTTGTGTGTGTTCCCAGAAGTGGAATCGCTAGATCATGGTAATTCTTCAGTTTGTGACTGTTTTCCACAGCAACCATACCATTTTACATTTCCACCAACAATGCACAAGGGTTCCAATTTCTCCATATCCTTGCTTAACATTTGTTATTTTCTGGAATTGTTTTGTTTTGTTTTTTACAGTAGCCATCCTAATGGGTGCGAGGTGGTCTCCCTTTCCAGTTTTCGATTTGCATCTCCCTGATGATTAGTGAGGTTGAGCATCTTTTTATGTCCTTACTGGCCATTTGCATATTTTTGAAGAAATGCCTATAAAGTCTTTTGCCCATTTTTGAATTGGGTTGTTTGCTTTTTTGTTGTTCAGTTTTATGAGTTCCATTTATATTTCAGATATCAATCCCTTATCAGATATATCATTTGCAAATATTTTCTTCCATTCTGTGGGTTGTATTTTACTCTGTTGATACTGTCTTTTGATGCACAATTTTTATTGATAGACAATATTGGTACATATTTATGAGGTACAGGTGATATTTTGTTACATGCATAGACTGTAATAATCAAGTCAGGGTACTGGGGTGTCCATCACCTCAAGTATTTATCACTTCTATGTGTTGGGAACATTTCAAGTCTTCTAGCTATTTTGAAATATGCAATACATTGTTATTAACTATAGTAACCCTACTCTGCTATTGAACATTAAAACTTATTCCTTCTGTGTTTGTACTCATTAGCCAACCTCTCTTTATCTCCTGCCCCCACCCACACATAGCCTCTGTTATCTTTCTACTCTCTATCTCCATGAACTTTTTTAGCTCTCCCGTATGAGTAAGAACATGCAATATTTGTCTTTCTGAACCTGGTTTATCTCACTTAACATAAGTCCCATTCCATTCATATTGCTGCAAATGACATGATTTTATTATTTTTTTACAGCTGAATAGTATTCCATTATGTATATATGCCACATTTTATTTATCCATTTATCCACTGATGGACACTTAGGTTGATTCCACATTCTTGCTATTGTGAATACTGCAGTAAACATGGGAGTGCAGGTATCCGTTTAATATACTGATTTCTTTTCCTCTGGATAAATACCAAGTAGTGGGACTGCTGGATTGTATGGTAGTTGTTCTATTTTTAGTTTTTTTGAGAAATCTCCCTACTGTTTTCCGTAATGGCTGTACTAATTGATATTCCTACCTACAGTGTATAAGAGTTCCCTTTTCTCTTCATCCTTGCCAGCATTAGTTATTTTTTGTCTTTTGATAATAACTATTCTAATTGGGATGAGATGATATCTCATTGTGGTTTTTGTTTGCATTTCTCTGATGATTAGTGATGTAGAGCATTTTGTTGGCCATTTGTGTGTCTTCTTTTGAGAAATGTCTATTCATGGTTTTTGCCCACTTTTTAATAGGATTTTCTTTTTTTTTACTGTTGAGCTCTCGGTTTTCCTTGTATATTCTGGATATTAGTCCTTTATTGAATGAACATTTTGCAAATATTTTCTCCCATTCTGTGGATTGTCTCTTCACTCTGTAGATTGTTTCCTTTGCTGTACAGAAGCTATTTAGTTTAGTATAGTCACATTTGTCTATTTTTGGTTTCAGTTGCCTGTACTTTTGAGGTCTTAATCATAAAATATTTGTCAAAACCAACGTCCTAAAATGTTTCTCCTATGTTTTCTTCTAGTAGTTTTATAGTTTCGGATCTTATGTTTAAGTCTATAATCCATCTTGAGTTGACTTTTGTATGTGGTGAGAGATAGGGGTCTAGTTTCATTCTTCCACATATAGATATCAAATTTTTCTAGCACCATTTATTGAAGACAATGTCCTTTCCTCAGTGTATGTTTTTGGCACCTTTGTCAAAAATCAGTTGGCTGCAAATACGTGGATTTATTTCTGGGTTCTCTACTCTGTTCCATTGGCCTGTGTGTCTGTCTGTATACCAATATCATGATATTTTGTTTACTACAGCCTTGAAATATATCTTGAAGTCAGGTAGTGTGGTGCCTCCAGCATTGTTCTTTTTGCTTGCAAAATTTTTAAATGTTCATGAAGTCCAATTTGTTTATTTTGTTGTTGTTGGCTGTTTTTCTTTTCTTTTCTTTCTTTTTCTTTTTCTTTTTCTTTTTTTTTTTTTTTTTTTTTTTTGAGATGGGATCACTCTCTGTCACCCAGGTTGGAGTACAGTGGTGCAATCACAGCCCACTGAAGCCTCGAACACTTGGCCTCAAGCACAATCCTCTTGTCTCAGCCTCCTGAGTAGCTAGGATTATAGGAATGCACCACCATGTCCAGCTAATTTTTTAAACAAATATTTTTGTAGAGATAGGGTCTTACTCATTGCTCAGGCTGGTTTGAACTCCTGGGCTCAAGCAATCTTCAATGTTTCAACCTCCCAAAGTGCTGAGCCACTTTGGGAGTATGTATGAGCCACAATACCCAGCCAGCATCTTTCATGTCTTATCCAAGAAATCAGTGACAAATCCAATGTTTTGATGCTATTTTCATATTTTCTTCTAAGACTTTTACAGTTTTAGATTTTACATTTAGTTATTTGCTATGTTTGAATATGGTTTTTCCCCACTAAAACTCATATTGAAACCTTAATTCCCTTTGTGGCAATGTTGGGAAGTGAAACCTCTAAGAGGTGGAGCCTAATGGGAGGTATCTGGGTCATGAGGACTCTGCCCTTGTGTGTGGTTCGGTTCTGTTCTTGCAGTAGTGAGTGTGCTCTCATTCTGACAATACTGAATTGCTTCTAGCAGGAATGGATTAGTTCCTACAAGAGTGAGTTGTTATAAAGCCAGAATGCCCCTCAGGTTTTGCCTCTTGACATGTTTCCACTTCCCCTTTGACCTTCCACCAGGTTGCATTGCAACACATGCAACAAAAGCCTTCACCAGAAGCCAGATGAATGCTGGCACTATCTTTCTTGAACTTACCAGCTTGCAGAACCATGAGCTAAGTCAACTTTTCTTTATAAATCACTCAGTCTCAGTTATTCTGTTATAGCAACACAAAGCAGTCAAAGACAATCTTTGATCCATTTTTAGTTAATTTTTATATATGGTGTTAGATAAGGCGACATATGGTGTCAGAAAACTGGGTATTCTTTTGTATGTGAATATCCACTTTTCTAGCACAATTTGTTAAAAAAATGGTGTTTTCCCCATTGAATTATCTTAGTACCGTTATTGAAAATCATTTCACCACATATGTGAGGGTATGTTTCTGGGCTCTCTCTTTTATTTCATTGGTGGATATGTGTGACTTTATGCTAGTACCACAGTGTTTTGATTACTATAACTGTATAGTAAGTTTTGAAATCAGGAAGTGTGAATCCTTTTATATTAGTCTGTTTTGCATTTCTATAAAGAAATACCTGAGGTTGAGATACCTTCTCACACCAGTTAGAATGGCAATCACGAAAAAGTCAGGGAACAACAGGTGCTGGAGAGGATGTGGAGAAATAGGAACACTTTTACACCATTGGTGGGACTATAAGCTAGTTCAACCATTGTGGAAGACAGTGTGGCGATTCCTCAAGGATCTAGAACTAGAAATACCATTTGACCCAGCCATCCCATTACTGGGTATATACCCAAAGGGTTATAAATCATGCTGCTGTAAAGACACATGCACACATATGTTTATTGCGGCACTATTCACAATAGCAAAGACTTGGAACCAACCCATATGTCCAACAATGATAGACTGGAGTAAGAAAATGTGGCACATATACACTATGGAATGCTATGCAGCCATAAAAAAGGATGAATTCATGTCCTTTGTAGGGACATGGATGAAGCTGGAAACCATCATTCTCAGCAAACTATTGCAAGGACAGAAAACCAAACACCGCATGTTCTCACTCATAGGTTGGAATTGAACAATGAGAACACATGGACACAGGAAGGGGAACATCACACACTGGGGCCTGTTGTGGGGTGGTGGGGGGGGGAAGGATAGCATTAGGAGATATACCTAATGTAAATGATGAATTAATGGGTGCAGCACACCAACATCGCAGATGTATACATATGTAACAAACCTGCACATTGTGCACATGTACCCTAAAACTTAAAGTATACTTAAAAAAAAAATAAAAGAAATACCTGAGGTTGGGTGACTTACAAGGAAATGAGGTGTATTTTGGCTCACAGTTCTGCAGAGTGTACAAGAAATCTGTTTTGCATTTCTATAAAGAAATACCTGAGATTGGGTGAATTTATAAAGAAACGAAGTGTATTTTGGCTCACAGTTCTGCAGTGTGTACAAGAAGTTTACTTTGCATTTCTGTAAAGAAATACCAGAGGTTGGGTGATTTATAAAGAAATGAGGTTTATTTTGGCTCACAATTCTGCGGAGTATACAAGAAGCATAGTGCCAATATCTGCTTCTGGTGAGGGCCTCAGGAAGCCTAAAATCATGATGGAAGGCAAAGAGGGAGCAGGCATGCTACATGGTGAGAGAGGCAACAAGAAAGAGAGAGAGGAGGGAGAGGCCAGACTCTTTTTAACAAGCAGATCTTATGGTAACTCATAGAACAAGAACGCACTCATTACTGCAAGGATGGCACCAAGCCATTAATAAGGCATCTACGACCATGACCCTAATACCTTCCACTAGGCCCTACCTCCAATATTGGGGATCACATTTCAACATGAGATTTGCAAGGGACAAATATCCAAATTGTATTACACCCAGCTTTGTTTTTTTGCAAGATCGCTTTGGCTATTCAGGGACCACCTAAGATTGCCTATGAATTTTAGGATGGGTTTTTCTATTTCTGAATATCTATCTTTGGAATTTTAATAGGGATTGCATTGAATCTGTTGATGACTTGGGGAAGCACTGACATCTCAACAATATTAAGTCTTTCAATCCATGAACATGGGATGTCTTCTATTTATTGATGTCTTCTTTAATTTCTTTTAGCAATGTTTTGTAGTTTTCAATATTTACATTTTTTCTCACTTGTTAGTATGTAAGTATTTAATTCTTTTTGATGCTATGAAATTGTTTTTAGAATTTTCTTTTCAGATGGTTCATTTTTAGTGTATAGAAATGCAACTGAATTTTGTGCATTGACTTTGTATCCTGCTACTTTGCTGAATTTATTTATTACTTCTAACAGTTTTTTGATGAATTAGGGTTTTCAACATATAAGATTATATCATCTGTGAACAGAGACAATTCTACTTTTTTCTTTCTGATTTGGATGTCTTTTATGTCTTTTTCTTGCCTAAATACTGTGTTTACAACTTCCAGTTCTATGTTGAATAGAAGTAGCAAAAGTAGGCATCATTGCTTTGTGCCTGATTTTAGAGAAAAAGCTTTCAGTCTTTCACCATTTAGTTTTATGTTAATAGTGAGTTTTTTCACATATGGCTTTTATTATACTGAGGCAGTTTCCTTCTATTTCTAGTTTGTTGACTTGTTTTTTAATTATGAAAGGCTGTTGAATTTTGTCAAATGCTTTTTCTATATCAATTGAGATAATCATGTGTTTTCTTCCCCCTTGTCTTAGTCCATTTGGTGTTGCTATACCAGAATACCTATGGCTGGATAGTTTATAAAGAAAAGAGATTTATTTAGCTCACAATTATGTAGGTTGTGAGGTTCAACAACATAGCACCCAACTTCTGGTGAGGCTACATTCTGGCTAAAAACATGGTGGAGAAGCAGAAAAGTGAGCAGGCATGTACAAAGAGATCACATGATGAGGGAGGAAACAAGAGAGTCTAGGAAGCAAAACCCTCTACTGTAACAACATGCTTTCTGGTAAATAATTCCATTCTGTGAGAGCAACAACTCACCCACTCCTATGGAAGGGAATTAATCTACTTATGAGGGATTAATCCTTGTGACCCAAGCACCTCCCACTAGGCCTCACCCCCCTACAATGCCAAACTGGGGATCAAATTTCAACAAGAGTTTTGAGAGTAATAAACCACATCTAAACCATAGCATTTTGTCCCATGCCCCAAAAGTCATGTTCTTCTCACATACAAAATAGAAACACTTGTTCCCAATAGTTTCAAAAGTCTTAATGTGCTCCATCACCAAATCAAAAGTCCAAAGTCTCATCTGAGAGCCTGTGAAATTTTTTTTTAAAACTTATTTACTTTCAAGATACAATGGTGAGACAGACATTGGGTAAACATTCCCACTCCAAAAGGGAAAAATAGGCCAAGAGAAGGGAAGAACAGGCCCTATACAAATCTAAAACCAGCAGGGCAGACAATTAAATCTTAGTGCTCCAAAATAATCTTTCACTCCATGTGCTGCCTCCTGGACACACTGGTATGGGGACTGGGTCCCCAAGGCCTCAGAAAGCCCCACCTCAATGGCCTTGCTGCATGGCTTGGAGTCTGGTGCCTGTAGCTTTCCCAGGTAAGTGTTTCACACTGCCAGTAGCTGTACAATTCTGTGGTCTTGACAGTGGCCATGTTCCCACAGATCCACTAGGCATTGCCCCTGTGGGAGCTCCTCTGGTGGCTCCACCCTTGTGGCAGGTTTCTGCCTGGGCTCCCAGGCTTTCCATTACATCCTCTGAAATCTAGGTGGAAGCCTCCACACCTCCATCACTCCGGCATTTTGCATGCCTGCAGAATTAATGCCATGTGGACCTCGATGCTGCCAAGGCTTATGGCTTGTATCCTTTGAAGCAGCAGCCCAAGCTGTTTATGTGGCTAGTTGAGTCACAATGAATTGGCTGAAATAGCCAGGATGTAGTGAGCAGGTCCTGAGGAAACCCTGGGCAGTGTGCCTATGGGGAATAGTTGGAACTGTCCCCTGAAACCATTCTGATCTCCTAGGCTTCCTCTGGCTTCCTCTGGTAGCTGGTCAAGCTGGGCCTTAGGAGACCAATGTTGGCCTGCCCAGGTACTGCTTGAGAGTTTTACCCTGGAGGGGCTCCTTTGAGCTAGGGTTTGCAAATTCCCAACTGGGATTATTTTGCTCAATTTTCTACTGTCATCTTCTAAGTCCAAACTGTGGTTTGTAATAAGACAACATTTTTCTCCTTTTGGACTTTCAGCATGCAGTATAGAACAAACCCACCAGAGGCATATCTGAGTTAGCAAAACATTTACTCCATTTCCCTATAGCAAATTATTCCACATAGTACTGCCTGTGGTTGCAAAGACACCACTATTTTACAGCCAATAATGAATGAATGATGGGCAGTTTTACTAGAATTGCTTTTCATTTTTGTCAGCTTTATAAAAATTTTTACATTTTCACTTATATGTTCCTAAAGAGTGAATGTGCATGGGGAAAGATTCTGAGAGCTAATTTGGCACATATTATTTTAACAACTCCAGAGAGAACATATATTATTTATTGTCAGTTGTTTTAATAATGTTTCTACAATGAAAGAATTCACAAGGCTAAAAAGTTCTATTCTGTATTTAATTTACTTGTTCAAATGTCTATATAGGCTTTTATTACTAACTCCATGATTTTCTACGATCACTTAAAGCTAATGGACAAATGTTGACTATTTGACACAAAATCTTGTTCTTCCATTTAAAAAAGTTTTTCCAAATAGTGGATTTAAGGCTGTCTTTGGAGCCGGTTTTGTTATTCTGTTACATAAGAATGTATTCAGGGATGACAGAGGCATAATGTGCACATTAGTCCTCTATTCAATTAAAAGTTCAATACACAGTATTAATTTGACTTTATATTAGTAGGTGAAATTATAAATTTAGTGACCAAGCAGAATCATATGTCAACAGCTATAATATTAAAATCATTACTGTAGTGTGATTTCTTTAGGCTACATCTGAGAACTGTTCTTTCCTCTCATCACAAATGATTTTGTCATGCCCACTCCCCCACCACGAGACTTGATTAAACGCTAGCATAGCTCAAGCCCTGACCCGGGGTCAACCCAGCCCTCCTCAAGTTCCTGTCTGGGAAATCTCAAGGTTGTTGAAAAATTTACTGTTTGTTCTAGCCAACATCTGAAGACTTGGCCCCTGTCTCCCAGGCTCTGTGGGAGGGTAAGAGCTTAACTTTGATAAGCACTAGTTAACAAACCCAGACGGTCTAATCACATTGGCCAAACCCTTTTACCCAATAATTGTAATTTTTCACTTCCATGACTTTGGTTGAGCCGGGCAGTTTCTCTCTCTTCACTCCCTCATTCTCCCTTTAAAATGCCCAGTAGCCTCTATATGGATTGGAGTTGAGCTCAGTTCCATACTGGTTTGTCTTTATAATCTTTAACTAGCTTTAACTGGCTTTGTTTTTCTTTAACACATTTAGCCAAAAACTTGAGCTAAACCAATTAAAATACAGAGGCATAGAAACTTTTCACTCACCTGAGAAACATGTCAATAGCAATAGTGTATGAATTAATTATAGTTGAATGGCAACTGGCCACCGTCTTGACAGTAAGTGATTTACAATCCAGTCTTATGAGAGAATTTGAAATGATGCTCTGCTCATCTCAATCATTCCTGCTGTAAAACAAAAGAATCAAAGAGGGAAGTCTTTCTACAAACAAGTAACTAATCAAGATGAGGTGTGGTAAAAATAATAATAATAATAAAAGCATCTCCTGTGTCAAAGCATTAATTTTTCTATTGGTTATCAGAGTAGAAAAAAATATTTTTTTTATTTACCCCTCTTAGGTTCATTGGCTTGGAGTCCATGAATCAAACAAATAACAGACAGATTAACAAGAGAAAAAAACAGTTTTAATTATGTACATAGCTACATACGTAACACCAGAGTTTATAAAGAAAAATGTTCCTCAAGGAGGCAGCCAGATGGTTAAGGCTTTTACGGTATTCCATTTTTAGCAAAATAAAGGAAAAGGGATTTGGGACTTCTAGGTCAGGAGGCAAGTTACAGGAAGGTGACCAAGAAAAGTATGGTAAACAAGGATTGTTTAGTGCTTTCTCCATTGATAAGAGTTATTGAGTCCTCTTCTCCATAAGGGAAAAGGAGATATCTTTAAAGATGGAAATGTTCTAAATTTTCTTTATTAAAGGAAAATTTGTGCCCTATTTTTAGAGCTTTTTCTGTGTCTGTTGGTCTCGATGGCCTTTAGCTAAAATATTCAACGTAACAAAAAGGCATATTTTGGGGGGTGTAGCATATCTTGGTACCCTTTGTGGTGACAAATTCCATATCTGTTGGGCATTCCTAGGGGTCAGTGCTGGATTTCCCTGCTGACCAACTAGGAAAATGAAGTGGGAACTGAAAAGGGCATTGTGGCTGTCTCTCCAACAGTCTTTCCTCAGATGATCACTCAAAGCCAACTGTGTCACCTACCTGTGATTGGGCTAAAGAAATGTGAGGTGTGTTTCACCAGAGTTGTCAGGGGAAAGAGCCAGTTGTCTTTGAATCCTGCACATGGACAAGGACACACGTGTACCCAGTTGTGCTGGTAGCCATATTATGACAATGAGGAAAAGCAACCCTACAATGAAGTGAGTGTCATAAATAGCAGCACAGAGAACGAAGCTGGATTCTAGATGATATTGCTGAACCATGGAATCGATCGAATTACTTAAGATAATAAATTCTCTTATTGTTTAGGACATTTTGAGTTGGTATTCTGTTATAGGAAGGCTAAAAACAGCAGAGCCCAGAGAGGGAGTCAGTGTTCTCCATGGAGGGAAGATGGGCCTTCTAGCTCAAAAGAGCACCTCCAGAGTAAAACTCTCGAGCAGTACCTGGGCAGGCCAACATTGCTCTCCTAAGGCCCAGCTTGACCAGCTGCCAGAGGAGGCAGACATTTTGATGAGGGAAGGTGGTCGGGAAAGGGGCAAGGAGTAGCGATGTTGAAACCAGCAAGTCTGTGAAGACAGTTAAATGAGCCAAAATATTTGGGTGAGGTAGATGGGGACACTAACATTAAAGACAGGAAAAATGATGAAGAGAAAAAAGGAGAGGCCAGAGATTGCTTTTTCTATATTCTGGAAAAGTACCAGTTCCATATGAATTACCTGGTTTACTTGTGTGTTTTTAAAGATCAGCTAGAACTTATCACAATCTATCTGGTCCTGGTGATTTTTTAGAGAGTAGGTCTTTTAAGCCTCCTTCTGTCTCTTCTGTAGCATTTGATCTACCCAAGTTTTATGTTTCTTCTTGGGTCAATTGTGTTAGCTTATATTTTGCAAGAACATCATTTATTCCCTGTAGGTTTTTTGAAATGTTGCCGTTGAATCTAATATTCTCTTATAATGTTTTCAGTGTCTTATATTTGATTGTCTCTCTCTTATTTCTTATCTTGTGTATGTTTCTCTTAGTCAGGCTTCTATTGATTTTCCTTTTTAGGTCTATTTATCCTTTCTGCTCTTTTACTTATTATTTTGCTTTCTTGTTCATTATTTTCCTTCTTCACTATTTTAATCTTTCCACTTGGTTTTGTTTTCTTTTTCTAATTTCCTAAAGATGAGTATTGTTCTTTACTTTTCAGCTCTTAATCTTTAAT
Organism: Homo sapiens; assembly: GCF_000001405.40. NCBI lineage: Eukaryota > Metazoa > Chordata > Mammalia > Primates > Hominidae > Homo > Homo sapiens. The sequence goes on from NC_000012.12 coordinate 47,168,626, forward strand.
GGCAAAGGCACTTAAAGCTACAAATATTCCTCTCATAGATTTCCATATGTCTTCTTGGTTTGACATAAATAGTAGTTCTTGCCATTGCTTTGAAATAATTTTGAATTTTGGTTTTTATTTTCTTTTTGACCCAGAGCTATTAAAGTGTTGTTACTTTATTGAAGTGTTGTTGTTTTTTCATAAGTATTTAGAATTTTTGTCATTCTTTTTTTCTTATTTCTGAGTTTTATTAGAGAATATAACCTGTAAAATTGACCTTTAAAAAAAAGTTAAGTTTTTTCAACCAAGAGTATGACCAAATGTCATAAATACTCCATGAACATGCAAAAATATGAATATTTTCTACTTAATACTTTCTACTCAAAGGATATATGGTTTAATATTGTAGGGGAGGAAAAATATCTTCTCACTTCTAGGTTGTTTGCTGGGGCTGTAAGATACAGATTAACAAGAGAAAAGAATACAAATTTATTTAAAATCTGTTTTACATAACACAGAAGTGGAAATGAAGACCTAAAGAAACAGTTAACCCTGAGTATTTTTATACTAGGTTTGACAAAGAGTAGAAAGTTGTGGAAAAATATGATAGGGCAGAGAGGGTTTGAGCTAGGATAGCAAACTGGAGGAAACTTAGCAAGGCCTATTTGTTTGAATTCCTCTCAACATCCCTCCATCTTCCCATCTTCGGTGATAAAGGTGTCCTTCTCTCTGAGTATCAGGAAGGTACCTCTCATGTGAGGGTCTTATGTCGTATTTCAGGGGAGAAGAAAGTGTCAGAGTGTCCTTTCTGTACCTGCCATTTTTCAGATTCCTTCAGCTTAAAATATTCAATATGGCAAGCTGCCATATTTTGGGGTAGTATGTCCTAAACCCCATCATTTCAATAGTTTTACTGTTTAATTTCTGTTTGTCATTATTACTATTTTTTGCCCCATTGGATTTGGAGAATTCTGAAAGACATATATCGTATATATTTCTAAATGAAGTTCTCCTTGCATTTCTAACACTTTATATATTTAGCTGCTGTATCTAATACATACAAAGTAATTACTAGTATATCTTTTACCTAAATTGTACTTTTTGGCCCAGCATGGTGACTGATGCCTGTAATCCTAGTGTTTTGGGAGGCCAAGATAGGAAGATCGCTTGAGCCCAGGAGTTCAAGGCTGCAGTGAACTATTATCATGCCGCTGTATTTCAGCTTGGGCAACAAAGTGAGACCCTGTCTCAAAAAAAAAAAAAAGTTCTTTTTATCATTGTATATTACTCATCTTTTTTTTTTTTTTTTTTTAGTATCATTCTTGGGTGTTTCTCGGAGAGGGGGATTTGGCAAGGTCATAGGACAATAGTGGAGGGAAGGTCAGCAGATAAACACGTGAACAAGGGTCTCTGGTTTTCCTAGGCGGAGGGCCCTGCCGCCTTCCACAGCGTTTGTGTCCCTGGGTACTTGAGATTAGGGAGTGGTGATGACTCTTAAGGAGCATGCTGCCTTCAAGCATCTGTTTAACAAAGCACATCTTGCACTGCCCTTAATCCATTTAACCCTGAGTGGACACAGCACATGTTTCAGAGAGCACGGGGTTGGGGGTAAGGTTATAGATTAACAGCATCCCAAGGCAGAAGAATTTTTCTTAGTACAGAACAAAATGGAGTCTCCTATGTCTACTTCTTTCTACACAGACACAGTAACAATCTGATCTCTCTTTTCCCCACATTTCCCCCTTTGCTATTCGGCAAAACCGCCATCGTCATCATGGCCCGTTCTCAATGAGCTGTTGGGTACACCTCCCAGACGGGGTGGCGGCTGGGCAGAGGGGCTCCTCACTTCCCGGACAGGGCAACCGGGCAGAGGCGCCCCCCACCTCCCGGATGGGGCGGCGGCCGGGCGGAGGCGCCCCCCACCTCCCTCCCGGATATTACTCATCTTTAATTTCATTGGTGGTTTTAAGCTTAAATTCTGCCCACCTGGTATTAATATGAACTTCTCCTTTCTCTTTGTGATATCTCTTTGTCCATTTCATTTTTCAGTCTTTAAAAAACTCACTTTGTTTTAAGCATTAAAAAACCAATAAACAGTGTATTGCTTAATTTTGTTATTTAACCCAACCTGCCAGTCTCTGTTTTTCAATAGAAAATTTAGCCCATTCATGTTAAGTATAACAACTGTTTTATTCATTCTATCTTATTTAATATTTATCTTTGGTCTTACTTTGCATTTCCTCTTTTTTCTTTCTTCATTTTTGCTGATTTGTTCAGGTTGCTCTACATTCTCATTTTCTTATTAATTATCTTCCCTTATCATCACACACAAGTTTCTGGACTATCATATGAAATCCACATGCTTTTTCCTTTCAACCAAATCACTCTTTTTTTCACTGTTCCCACCAATAAATGAGACTTTTGAATACCTTTACTTCTCCATTCTTCCTGCCAGGTTACCTTTTTTTTTTTTTTTTTTTGAGACGGAGTTTTGCTCTTATTGCCCAGGCTGGAGTGCAATGGCACCATCTCGACTCACTGCAACCTCCGCCTCCCGGGTTCAAGCGATTGCTCTGCCTCAGCCTCCTGAGTAGCTAGGATTACAGGTATGCACCACCACGCCCGGCTAATTTTGTATTTTTAGTAGAGATGGGGTTTCTCCATATTAGTCAGGCTGGTCTAGAACTCCAGACCTCAGGTGATCCGCCCACCTTGCCCTCCCAAAGTGCTGGGATTACAGGCGTGAGCCACCGTGCCTGGCCCTATTCTACTTTCAAATACTTTTTTTGCTGATATGGCTTAATACTTTGGGTTCTAAGCTATTATTAGATTTCTCTTGCAGTAAATTCTTCTTTTTAAAGATTGCTTATTTAGCTATTATATTAATCTCACTTTGTTAACACCTATTTGCATCTAACTTTACTTACTGCAAGCTATACTGCTTGCCATTTTTGTTTCCTCTCTTCATCTTCTACTCTGACCTGGTTTCCCTAAGATGGAATAGGAGGATGATATTTTCTATGAATTCTTGCATAGCCACAAATATAGTTTTTCTCCTGATAAAAGAAAGATAATATCTTGCCTCAGATATAAAATTCTTGGATTGTAGTTCTTTTCTCTCTGATATTAGTAATTTTTATTAGCTCCTGAGTTGTAGATGACACAGTCCTGTATCAGTCTAACGTTTCTTCTTCTTCTTCTTCTTTTTTTCTTCCTCTTCTTCTTCTTCTTCTGCTGCTGCTTCTTTCTTCTTCTTCTTCTCCTTCTTCTTCTTTTCTTCTTCTTCTTCTTCCTCTTCTTCCTCTTCTTCTTCTTCCTCTTCTATATGTATATGTATGTGTCTATAGATAGATATTTGCATAGTTGATCTTTCTGTCTCTGTATTTATAAGATTTGTCTTAATCCTTGGAGTTCAGAAATCTTACCAGAATATGTCTAAGTGTGTGGACCTTGGTAATACATTTCCATCTGCTGACTTGAATAAATCTAATTTTAACTAACTTTGCCTCTCCTTGATCTGTGCTCTTATGTTTTTCTGATATTTGCATGTAGGTCTCCTGGATCTTTCTTCCAAGTCTGCTATCTTTTTGCTCATGATTTCTGCCTCTTTGAATTATTGCTCCTTATTTTGAGATACTTCTTCCAATTGTTCTTTCAGGCTACTAATTTGAACCCAGCATAAATCATCTTCTTCAGTTCACCCACTTGCTTGTTCAGTTAAAAAGTCGTGGGTTGCTTTTTTTTTTTTTTTTTTTTTGGTTATTTTTCAGTTCTTTTGTTATTGTTGTTTGGAAGCAGAGGCTGCACTGAGCCGAGATTGCACCATGGCACATGGCACTCCAGCCTGGGTGACAGGGTGAGACCCTATCTCAAAAAGAAATTCTGATCAAGGAAATCTATGATTGCTAGACTGATAAATTTTGAGTTTGATTCTGAATGTGGTAGAAAGCAAGATGACATAGTGAAATAGCATGAATTTTGTGGCTCAAAGTGAATTAGCATGAACTAATGCCAACTGGGCATTTCCTAGCTTTATGAACTTGGGCAAACTGCTTAATTTTCTGACCCTGATCCTGTAAAATGGAGATAGCTATGCCTTCCTCCAGATCTCTTATTAGGAGATCATATGTGTAAAAGATAAGAACTGGCACAGGACAGAACCTCTCTTCCTTTCCTAGTGGTATTGTGTTGGGAAGGAACTGTCTCCTGAGATCCTGCTCAGATCAGCTGCCTAGCCTAGAGGAAACAGCAATGTTGTTGAGGGAAAGAGGTTAAGAATGTGACAAGGAGAAATCATTTTGAAACAGACAAGGCTGAGAAGGTACCAAAATGTTTTTGTGTGTTTGTGAGGGCCATTTTTTGAGAGACAAGTTGTTGAAAAAGGCAATGGGGAAGACAGGACAATAAAGAGGAGAAAATCAACTGAGACAATGAAGAAGAAACTCAAGATTTCCTTCACACTTTTGACTCAGAGCAGCCATGTAGGAGACATAGAAAGTGTCACAGAATGACCTATCAGGCATTAAATCGGATGATTAAACTATGGCGGGTAGTAGAAGGAAAAAACCAACCACCAGAAAAGTTGTAGATTCCTTCAAAACCTGATATGTAACTTAAAGTAACTTTTTCGAAGTTCAGAATCATTTATCTCCTGTATGTTTCTTTGTTTTGACAGAGTCTCCCTCTATTGCCAGACTGGAGTGCAGTGGCACAATCTTGGCTCACTACAACCTCCACCTCCTGGGTTCAAGCGATTCTCCTGCCTCAGCCTCTCGAGTAGCTGGGACTAGAAGCGCCCGCCACCACGCCCAGCTAATTTTTGTATTTTTAGTAGAGACAGGGTTTCTCCGTGTTAGTCAGGATGGTCTCGATCTCTTGACCTCGTGATCTGCCCGCCTTAGCCTCCCAAAGTGCTGGGATTACAGGTGTGAGCCACCATGCCCGGCCTGTTAGCTCCTTAATTCTGTACATAAACACATACTTTTTTTTTTTTCTTAAACATGGTGGGATAAAAAAGCAAAATGTCTATGATATTTATAACGGAAGTTGGGCCATCCTGCCAAAGATTCGTAGTCACTAATTTTAGGATGATTATGATTAATCTTTGAAGTACCAGAAGAAAAATGTAATGCCCAGATAAGAGAGATTATCTTCATCAATTGTTTAAGTATTAATCTAAAAGGAGAGATTTCAGATCTTTAAAAAAATGATTATACGAGGCTCATAAATATTTCTCAGGTGTTTCATATGTTTTAAAAGGCTGAGGAAAATGTCTGTGGTAAATGCTGCGGATGCTTTGAAGACTATTCTTATTCAGATCAATTAAAATAAATATGTATGCAAAAGTGTCTAGCATGGTGGCCAGCAAACAAGTTTAATAAATGTTAGGGAGGGGCCAGGCATGGTGGCTCACACCTGTAATCCCAGCACTTTGGAAAGCCGAGGCAGGCCCATCACTTGAGCCCAGGAATTTGAGATCAGCCTGGGAAACATAGTGAGACTCTGTCTCTATAAAAAAATATGGCCGGCTGAGGTGGCTCACGCCTGTAATCCCAGCACTTTGGAAGTCGGAGGAGGGTGGATCACTTGAGGCCAAGAATTCAAGACCAGCCTGGCCAACATGGAGAAAACCTGGCTCTAGGAAAAATACAAAAATTAGCCAGGCATGGTGGCGCATGCTTGTAATTCCAGCTACTCGGGAGGCTGAGGCAGAAGAATCGCTTGAACCTGGGAGGTGGAGGTTGCAGTTAGCGGAGATTGCGCTACCGCACTCCAGCCTAGGCTATAGAGTGAGACTCAATCCAAAAAAAAAAAACAAACAAAACAAACAAACAAACAAAATAAATAAATAAATAAATAAATAAAATGTTAGGGGAATCAAATTAAGCTCTTTAACCCAAATTTAATCTGAAGTACCATCAAGACTTCTGCTTCTTTTGGCTGTGCATTGGCATACTCTACCCACTGGTCCTGGTATGCCTCAGGTCCTCTTGCTCTTAGCGCCTCATCTATTCCAGCATTTACCTTTTTTATTCCCATGCCTAAAATTAATGAATATGACAGTTTTGTAAAAGGATACAAAAGTAATTTATATATACTTTTGCACATCTGGAATTTAATTTTTTTTAAGTGGTTCTCTGCCTTTTCTACATCAGAGCATAGAGGTTAAGTGCATAACTCCTGGGGTCAGAGAGATGCAAGTTCAAATCCTGGGTCTCCCACTTAGACTATTAACTTGAGCAAGTTACTTAGCATCACTGAGCATTAGTTTCCTCATCTGTAAAATGGGAATTAAAACTCTCTGTACTTCAAATGAGATAATGTAGGTAAAGACGTGGCAAGGTGTCAGATGGATAGTAAGCCTTGATAAGTAATGCTGAGTATTGTGACTTATAACATGTATAACATGTAATAACTATATACCATATATATCTAGATAATATACATCTATAATTATTTTTAAACACCCTTATAATATCCCTCTTCAAATTCCTATAATTCTGCATTTTTGATATTTAGAATAGAAAAAGTGAATCACAAATCGTAAAAGAGGTAGAATTGCTAGTTGAGTAGAATATTTACAGTTAAAATATGGTGCTGGCTTTATCTTAGAATTATAATCTAGAGATGTACATTATCCTAGATGCAAAGTGCAAAAGTGCTCATAATATCTGGACAACAAAAACTAGTTGAATGTAAAAGTATTTATTCACTTTTGGACTCATGTTAATTTGGGGTGGCAAATTGATATTAACTTGCACAGTATCTTTATATCCATGAATTAAATTAATTCAGGGCTTTTTTCCAAGGGAGCCACACCTCATTAATAATTTTATTTGGTTGTTATCTAGAATGTTGTAACAATTTCTAAATGTCAGGTTATAGAAATTTCTAGTATACAGAAATCCCACTTCAGAATTCAGAAACCTTTTGGTTTACTTCTTTCAGTATGTATGTATGTATGTATGTATGTATGTATTTATTTTGAGATGGAGTTTCACTCTTGTTGCCCAGGCTGGAGTGCAATGGTGCAATCTCGGCTCACTGCAACCTCAGCCTCCCAGGTTTAAGCAATTCTCCTGCCTCAGCCTCCCAAGTAGCTAGGATTACAGGCATCCGCCACCATGCCCAGCTAATTTTGTATATTAGTAGAGATAGGGTTTCACCATGTTGGTCAGGCTGATCTCGAACTCCTGACCTCAGGTGATCTGCCTGCCTCAGCCTCCCAAAGTCCTGGGTTTACAGGCGTGAGTCACTGTGCCCGGCCTATTTATTTATTTTTAATTTTATTTCTTTTTTTTTTTAGAGACAGGGTGTCGCTACATTGCCCAGACTGGTCTCGAACTCCTGGGCTTAAGCCATCTTCCCACCTCAGCCTCCCAAGTTACTGAGATTACAAGCAGAAGGCATCCCACCCAGCTTGCTCCTTTTAATACTGGCATGCCCTAGCCAATGATTCTTTAAATAATATTATTGCTCAATATTTTCCTTCTTAAAAAGTGGCTGGATTTCATACTGACTAAAATCAGGAAAACATAAGGAAGAGAAGTACGATATTGTGATTTATAATAAGGAATACATATTTTGGTCTTTATCCTCAATTCCTGGCACAGAGCTCCTAAAACCCTTGTAATTTCCTAAGCAATAGAGGTGCTAGGTGCATCTTTGTTTCTAATATTTGTTTTTTTCCCCCAGTTCCTGATGCAGAGCTCCTAATCCCTTGGAAATCCCTGGGTGACAACAGTGTCTTTTGTTCTCATGAGGCAACCCTCAGTAGGTTCTTGGATGAAGGCTGGACACCAGAAAAACCAAGCCATGATTAGAAGCTTGGAAACTTCAGACCCATTCCCCATCCTCTGGGGTTCAGAGACCTTCGGGTTGCTGAACACATGGAGGTGCTGGGAGGGTGGCATGACCACGCCGCATGCCCCGTACCTTGTCCTATGCATCTCTTCCATCTGGCTGTTCATTTGTATCTCTTAAAATATCCTTTCTAATAAGTTGGCAATAACAAGTAAACTGTTTTCCTGGGTTCTATGAGCCATTCTAGTAAATTATCGAACCTGAGAAGGGAGTCATAGGAGCCTCCAATTTGTAGCCAAGTCCAGTAGAAGTTATGGTAACCTGGGGACCTACTACTTGCAATTGGCATCTGAAGTGGTGGATAGCCTCATGGGACTGAGCCCTTAACCTTTGGGATCTGACGCTATTTCCAATGTCAACTGGTGTCGGAATATTGGTCAGTGTGGGGAGAAAAAAAAAAACCCACTAATGTATTGTTCACAGAAGCATTGAATGTTGAGAGTACGATAGGAAGAAAAACAGATTTTTCACTAAACCAGAAGTCAAAACTATCTCCAGTGGGGATGGCAGGAAGATACAATTATGACTGAGTAAAGAAAGAAGTAGCAGAGAGAAAACAAAAGGACTGTCTCCTTGGAATAAACTGAGCAGTCCCATATGAAGCACCAGCTGTGAACTCTGAGATGCCTCAGAGCAGGAGTGAGTAGCTTAGGCTGTGTTCATCCTGGCTCTGGAGGACAGGGAAGGGGATGCTATCCAGTCATAAAGTGCCCAATAAACACAAGTACTCATCTGGGGGCATATGAGGAAATGCCACAAAGGGATAACTAATCCCAAGCACTGGAAGGACTGGCAGTGCCTACCTAAATGATTCACTGAGGGAAAGTATGTTGTGTGTGGAGAATAAGGTTGTCAGGTTTTATTTCATCATTGGCGAAATTGGAGAGAAATATCTCCTCATATAAGAGAGCATTTTGGCTGACTGACTGCTAATGGGGTGACTGACACATTCACCCCATTCCTCACTGTGGTTCCAATCACCCTCACACTAAACCCATATGTAACCTTTGATGTACTTGGAGTCTTCTGCTTCGTGACTGATTAGAGGACATGAGTTTGGTTGACAGAATGTCTCAAAGGAGACGGGAGAGATGATGATTATAGCACCTATGTTGTACTGATGCCTTAGTCCAGCCTGGTGGTGGGGTGGGGGGTGGCAACTAGAAACTGGAGGAATGTTCCCAAAAGAATGTTTGAGGTTCTGGGCCAGGTGCAGTAGCTCATGCCTATAATCCCAGCACTTTGGGAGGCCAAGGTGGGCAGACCACCTGAAGTCAGGAGTTTGAGACAAGCCTGGCCAACATGGTGAAACCCTGTCTCTACTAAAAATACAAAAATTAACCCGGTATGGTGGCACACACCTGTACTACTCAGGAGGCTGGGGCAGGAGAATCGCTTGAACTCGGTAGGTGGAGGTTGCGGTGAGCCGAGATCGTGTCACTGCACTCCAGCCTGGGTGATAGAGCAAGACCCTGTCTCAAAAAAAAAGTTTGAGATTCTGGCCATGGAATTAGTGCCAGATGCTGACAGATCTATTTTCTTGGGAGACTTTAAGGTTCTAGGAGAGGGTAAAGGCCAGAAGCTGGAAGAATAGAAAGGACTCTAAATGTAATCAGATCTGCTTAAGGGCCCACATGACCAAGAGTAGCAGAGAATTAGAAAGAGAGACTTTCTCCCTTCCTCTATACAAAACCCCACACCACACTCATACCCTGAGAATACAGCACCTTTGGCGTAGACACCAGCATCCTCACCTCAGACAGTGGTGGTTGGCTGTGGTAGGGATTAGATGGCAGACAGGCATCAGGAAGTGCAGCGGGAGGAGGACCCGGTGGATGCCATGTGCTGACTGCATTTGACAGACTAGTATGTGGACAAGTGCAAAGCACCCACTTGTAGAAAGTCCCCAGCATAAGTGGGACACATTGTTGGGGGGCAGTGCTAAGTTACTACTTAAGCAGGTGGAGTGCTGCCTCAGGAAATTTCATGGGCTGGTGAGGACAGATAACATCAGGCTTATGCTTTCAAACAATGGAATGGCAACAGCCCAGGTAGCCTATGTAGCTCTTGCCTCCATCTCAAAAAATAAAGGGAAAAAAAGCATAGAAAATTGGGATGAGGCCAGGCGCGGTGGTTCATGCCTGTAATCCCAGCACTTTGGGAGGCTGAGGTGGGCAAATCACAAGGTCAGGAGTTCGAGACCAGCCTGACCAACATGGTGAAACCCTGTCTCTACTAAAAATACAAAAATTAGCTGGGCATGGTGGTGAGCACCTGTAATCCCAGCTACTCAGGAGGCTGAGGCAGGAGAACTGCTTGAACTCAGGAGGTGGAGGTTGCAGTGAGCCGTGATCACGCCACTGCACTCCAGCCTGGGCGACAGAGTGAGACTCCATCTCAAAAAAAAAAAAAAAAAGAAAAGAAAATTGGGATGAGACTCCAAATGTACCAGTGTCATGAACGTAAGATTGATTATCTTCATGCTGAATGTATAAAAATGCATTACTATTGTTTACAACAGGCCCTGAGGCAATTGTCTATCATTTTTAACTTTGAAAAGTAATTACATAAATTTGTGTCTAGATTATACAAATTGCGAATTGGAGCATTACCATAATTTGCCTTAATTTGCTTTGTAAAAAGCCCAATTATCTACTGTGAGGTTGCAACCACAATTTAGAACTAGCAACTAATCTCCACCTTCCCCTTCTCTGCTTCTGATCTTCTACATCTCTGAAAGGCTCATACAAGACCTTCTGTGCCAATGTTATTTAGTTTCAATTAAGAAAACTAATATGGAGCTTAAACTACGGAGGTCTGTTCTCAAAGATGACACAAGGGAACATCAAAGCTCATCAGAACATCTGGACATACTAGCTGAGGGGGAGATTTTCATAAAGCTTTTCTATCAAATGCAAAAATTGCACCAATATAATCATTCATCCTCTCAGAGTCTGCTTCTTTCTTCTTTAAATTTGAAGCCTCAATTAATTGGAAATGTGGACCATTCTGGCGAAATAATATTTCCAGTTAATCAACTTTCCTTTTAAAATGCAGTATTTTGTCAGCATATTTCTAAATACTTTAAAAAACAACTGCTCTGGTTTAAGAGGTACAGTTTCATTGTGACACAACTAATATTATGTTGATGATTACAGACCTCACGATGCCTCTGCTTCATAATTCTGAACATCACTTCTCATTTTTCCAGTACCAAACATAGTATTTTCATTCATTTATTTATTCATCAATCCATTTAAGAAATCTTGACTGAATGCCTACCCTTTGTCAGGTACTCTTCTAGAGACTGAGGGTACAGCAGAGGCAAAACAGACCATAATCTCTTCTTCTACTGAGATTAAATTTTAGGTCAATATTATATATATATTGACATGTATATATCAATATGTCAGTGTCATATATATGTGAAATAAGACATTGGGTTGACTTATACTAGCAGTTAATTTTTTTCTTCAACTTTTATTTTAAGTTCCAGGGTACATGTGCAGGATGTGCAGGTTTGTTACATATGCAAACATGTACCATGGTGGTTTGCTACACAGATCAACCCATCACCCAGGTATTAAGCCCAGCATTCATTAGCTGTTCTTCCTGATCTTCTCTCTCCTCACACCCCCCAACAGGCCCCAGTGTGTGGTGTTCCTCACTATGTGTCTATGTGTTCTCATCGTTCACCTCCCACTTGTAAGTGAGAACATGCAGTGTTTGGTTTTCTGTTCCCGTGTTAGTTTGCTGAGGATAATGGCTTCCAGCTCCATCCATGCCCTTGCAAAGGACATGATCTCATTCCTTTTTATGACTGCATAGTATTCCATGGTGTATATGCCTGCACACCTACAACCATCTGATCTTTGGCAAACCTGACAAAAACAAGCAATGGAGAAAGGATTCCCTATTTACTAAATAGTGCTGGGAGAGCTGGCTAGCCATGTGCAGAAAATTGAAACTAGACTCCTTCCTTACACCTTATACAAAAATTAACTCAAGATGGATTAAAGACTTCAATATAAAACCCAAAACTATAAAAACCATTTGGGACATAGGCATGGGCAAAGATTTCATGACAAAAATGCCAAAAGCAAGAGCAACAAAAACAAAAATAGACAAATGGAATCTAGTTAAATAAAGAGCTTCTGCACCGCAAAAGAAACCATCATTAGAGTGAACAGACAACCTATAGAATGGGAGAACATTTTTGCAATCTACCCATCTGACAAATGTCTAATATCCAGAGTCTACAAGGAACTTAAACAAATTTATGAGAAAAAAAAATTAAAACGTGGGCAAAGGACATGAACAGACACTTCTCAGAAGAAGACATTCATGCAGCCAACAAACATCTGGGGAAAAAAGCAGTTGATTTTTTATTAACCACTGAGGTCAACTGGTTTTTTATTCTATACTTTCATGAGAAAGTATACATATACATACATACATATATGTATGTAGTGGTTCCAGGGAGTTAGGTTCTGGTTAGTGAAGGTATTTTCAACTGTATTCTCTTTTTCTTTCTTTTTTTTTTTTTGAGACAAAGTCTCACTCTGTAAGTGCAGTGGCACAATCATGGCTCACTACAGCCTCAACCTCCCGGACTCAGGTGATCCCCCACCTCAGCCTCCTGGGTAGCTGGGACTACAGGTGCTTGCTGCCACGCCTGGCTCATTATTTGTATTTTTTGTAGAGATGGGGTTTCACCATATTGCCCAGGCTGGTCTTGAACTCCTGGCCTCAAGCAATCCTCCCACCTCAGTCTCTCAAAATGCTGGCACTATACACATTAGCCACTGCGCTTGGCCTTAACAGTATTTTCTTGATACATATTTCAGTGCATTATTTTCTAATATATATTAGAAAGAATATTAGAATGAGATAGATTCTTTCATTATTTTTTTTTTTTTGAGATGGATTTTCACTCTTGTTGCCCAGGCTGGAGTGCAATGGTGCAATCTTAGCTCACTGCAACCTCCCAGGTTCAAGTGATTCTCCTGCCTCAGCCTCCCGACTAGCTGGGATTACAAGTGTGCACCACCATGCCTGGCTAATTTTCTTTTTATTTTTAGTAGAGACAGAGTTTCACCATGTTGGCCAGGCAGGTCTTGAACTCCCAACCTCAGGTGATCTGCCTGCCTTGGCCTCCCAAAGTGCTGGGATTACAGGCATGAGTGACCCCACCTGGCCGAGATAGATTCTTTCTAATATATATTAGAAAGAATACTGGCTTTCTAAATTATTTTAAATTCAGAACATTTTTCTTCTCAGTCTAATTTATCTCCTCTACTGAAAAAAAAAAAGTAAAACAATTCAACTTTTTGTCAGTACTAAACAGAGGACAACACATCATTACCAACCATCACAACCTTCTGTGATTCCAATCCTGTCAAAAGAAACATCCTGTAATTTCCTCCTTCAAAATCAGAACTAAACCCAACAAGATCAGTGCAGAAGTGCATTCTAATAATAGTCCACTCCTATTACTAATGGAAAGGCTGAAGGCTTCACAAACCTTTTCAAAGAGCACTTTGATGTAATTTTGAAGTCACAAACAGTTCTGTTTCTCTAAGCAGGCATTTTTCAGAGGACTGCGTCCAGTTAGAAATCCTAAAACTGAAGAGCACCAGTGAAACTTGAAGATGGTTCAGAAAAGAACAGCTGAAATGACTGAAAGCCTGGGAGATCCTTCTAGTGAGGGGGTGCTAGAGGAACCAAATGTATTTACCTGATTTGGTTAGATAAGAAAGAGAGAGGACCTAGAAGAATTCACTGTGAGTCACTGTAAGCAATAGACCTACAGTATTGAGAGAGCTAGAGTGATAAGAATACTACTGCCCTGGCACGGTTGCTCAGCCTGTAATCCCAGCACGTTGGGAGGCTGAGGCAGGCGGATCACAAGGTCAGGCCTTTGAGACCAGCCAAACAACATGGTGAAACACCATGTCTACTAAAAATACAAAAATTAGCTGGGCGTGGTGGCACGTGCCTGTAATCCTAGCTACTCAGGAGGCTGAGGCATGAGAATCACTTGAATCTGGGAGGTGGAGATTGCAGTGAGCCGAGATCACGCCACTGCACTCCAACCTGGGTGACAGAGCGAGACTCCATCTCAAAAAAAAAAAGAAAAAAAAAGAATACTACTATGTTGAGTGCTTTATACCTATTATCTTTTTAACAGCCTTCCAGTAACTCAGGAGGCAGATTATTAGTGCTATTACTCCCATTGCACAGTTGACGAAAACTGTGGCTTAAGTAATTTGCACAAGACCACATAGCTAGTAACAGTTGAGCTGCAACTTGAACTCAGGCTGACTCCAGAACCCTAGCTCTCACTCGCCACACCATACTGCCTTAAGAGCAGAAACATCCAACTGCCCATAAGGATACGCAAAAATGAGGACATATAAACAAACAATATTTTGAAACTCATCACCCCAGAGATTATAAATGCAAATGGAGTGTCTTACTGGGATAGACAGAGTTTAGTTCCACCCAACAGCTAAAAGCTAAATTAGAATGGCTTCAGGGGTCTCTCTTTTTTTTTTTGGCAATGATTCAAAGGATGATTTTTATTCTTTATACCATTTGGAAAACAGGTGACATAAAGAGGATTAACATCCTAATCAAATAACATATCTGATATCTTGGGAGTGTTAGCTACCCAATTAGGGAATGAACTTTTGCCAATTAGGGAAAAATAGAGTGCTACAATTCAGGTACTCACAAATTATAATAGGTAAACATTTATATCATAGTGATTATATATAGGTAAAGAGGTGGGCAGAATGTACATAGAAAACTTCTGAACTGTCTATCTCTTGCTGTCTAGGGATGGAATTTCTAAATATATTTTGCTCTAGTGCCTGATAGAAAATTACCTCAAGGAAGTAGAGACCTTTTGAGAAATCTAAGATAGCAATGTGCTAGTGTTTCCTAACATGTGCTCTGTGGGACACTTAAATAGGCAATGTATCTCAAAATATGCATGTTCAAAATAGAGTCCCACATATCAACATCATATTAAAGGCTCAGAGAAGTTTAACAATAAAGAAATCGATTTAACTTGGGTTAACCAGCACTTCCCAAATATACTAGCTACAGAACCATTTCTTTTTTTTTTAACACCTATATATCACCCATTGAACGGGTATTTTACTGAACACAGTACAGTAGACTGTTTAAAACTCACATCCTGGTAACTTTCACTACTTGAAATTACAAAGTGCTTTTGTTAATTGCATATTTTTGCTCAGCCATCTTAGAATTGTGTGCCACGTGAGGACAGGGACTCATCTGTATACAGACTTCCTGCACTCGTAAACTTTTTTTTATGTTTTAATAGACTTTGATTCCTTCAGTGTTCTGATAACTACAGAATCTCTGATCATGACTCCAAGGAAGACAAGGGCCCCCGCACCAGTTGGTGCTATGCTAGGCAGTGGGGATACTGCATGAACAGAACAGATATGGTTCCTGCTGAGGCAGAGCTGACATTTTATTGAGGAAAATAGACCATTAGGTACTTAAACCAGCAATAGAGAGAATATTTTTCTTTTTCTTCTTTTCTTTTTCTTTTTTGTAGAGAAAGGGTCTCCCTATGTTGCCTAGGCTGGTCTTGAACTCCTGGGCTAAAGCGATTCTCCCACCTTGGCCCTCCCAAAGTGCTGGGATTGCACCGCACCAGGCCAAGAATATTTTCCATTGTAAATGTATAAATTAGTAAATGAAGTTTACCTCAATCCCATGTGTGTTTTAGTTGGTGTGAGCTGTACCTTGCATGCTTACCCTCTGGCTACTTGCAAGAGGCAGGCTGGAGACAGTGGTGTGCTGGTAAACGACCAGCTGGGGAAGGGGAGGTGGTTTGATTTATAGCATTTGCAGATTTCCATGATGCAAATACTCCCGCCACATTGGATTTCAAACCATCCAGGTGATGCCAAGTAGCTTCCTGGAAATTTAACCATCTGCTCTCGGTAACTGCTGCCAGCAGCTCCAGCACACACCACTGGTTCTAGCCCTTCAAAGCAAGTTTAGCTAGCATTCTTCTCATCACAGACTTTTGAGTTTCACAAGCTAAGTAAAAGAATTTTTAAAAATTAGAGAAAGACTTTCTGAAATCTTTTTTCTTCCCTTCCTTCCTTCCTTTTTCCCTTCCCTTTTTCCTTCCTTCTTTTACCAAAGACACTAAAAAAAAAAAAAAATTACAATCTACAAATACCGTCATTTCATAAAAGAAAGGATATTTTAATTTTTTAAAAGTGGGAATAACATAATTTCAGAACAAAGATTAGTCCTTTAAATTTAATGAATCCAGATCTATGAAAATTTTATTACCTTACTTATTTTTCTAATTTTATTATGAACTAGGGAAAGTTTTGTGTATGCATTGGAATGTTTTTGGCTACAGGTGAAAGAAACCTGGCAGAGGTTAAGTAACCTGGAGTTATTTTTCTTACCTAGCAAGAGGTCTAGAGGTGAGTGGTTGCTGGCAGTAGTTCAACTGTGTAGTAATGCTGTCAGACTCCTTCTTTTTCCCTAGCTTTCCTTTCCACCAGCTTTAGCTTGTAAACTTGTTTCCTCATGTTTGTAGCCTCATAGTCACAAGATGTTGCTGCATCTCCAGGTAGATGAAAGGCAGGAGCAAAAGGCCTTTATATGGATTGAACTGTGTCCCCAAAAAAGATATGTTGATATCCTAACCCAGATACCTGCAAATGTGGCCTTATTTGGAATGCAAATGTAATTAGTTAAGATGAGGTCATATTGAACCAGGGTGGGCCCTAATCCAATAACTGATGTCCTTACAAAAAGAAAAAACAGAGACAGACACAAGAAGAGAACGCTATGTGAAGGCAGAGACACACACAGAGGGAAGACAGCCCTGTGAAGAAGGAGGCAGAAGTTGAAGTATTGAAGCTGCAAGCCGAGGAATGCCAAGTATTGCTGGTGTAGGAGAGGAAAATAATTACCTTTTCTGTACCCATCCTAGGTTCTCCAGCTAGGGAAAATTAGACTGCATATTAGAGTGGCCCGGCACGGTGGCTCACACCTGTAATCCCAGCACTTTGGAAGGCTGACGGGGGTGGATCACTTAAGGCCAGCAGTTCGAGACCAGCCTGGCCAACATGTTGAAACCCCATCTCTACTGAAAATACAAAGATTAGCTGGGCTTGGTGGCAGGCACCTGTAATCCCAACTATGCAGGAGGCTGAGGCAGCAGAACTGCTTGAACCTGGGAGGTGGAGGTTGCAGTGAGCTGAAATCGTGGTACTACTACTCCAGCTTGGGCAACAGCAGAGCTAGACTCAGTCTCAAAAAAAAAAAAAGACTGTATATTAGACTGACAAAAGACAGATTAACAAGAGAAAAACAAACAAGTTTATTGAAATATGCATTGCACATACACATAGGAGTATTCAGTAATAAGTAATTCAAAGGAGTGGTTAGAACTTGAACTTAGTCTGGTGCAGTGGCTCACACCTGTAATCCCAGCACTTTGGGAGGCCAAGGTGGGCGGATCACGAGGTCAAGAGTTTGAGACCAGCCTGACCAACATGGTGAAACCCCATCTCTACTAAAAATAACAAAATTAGCCAGATGTGGTGGCACGCCCCTGTAATCCCAGCTACTCAGGAGACTGAGGCAGGAGAACTGCTTGAACCCAGGGGGCAGGGGTTGCAGTGAGCCAAGATCGCGCCCCTGCACTCCAGCCTGGGTGACAGAGTGAGACTCCGTCTAAAAAAAAAGAAAAAAAAAAAGAACTTGAACTTACATAGAATTGAGCAAAGAACAATAATTTTGTAGAGAAGTGGCAAGACAAAGGAAAATGACTTTGAGCTTCTAGGGGCAGCAAATTGTGGGAAGGCAAATATATGGGGAAACTTATGGTAGATGAGGGCTAGTTAATACGTTTTGTTTTTGTAGATTCCTCTGGATGACATCTTGTCTCCAGTGATAAGGTGTTGTCCCTTTATGTTATCCCTTTACTGGTAGGGGGGTAGAGGGGGGCACTTTCACAAGGGGAGCTTATGTTCTGTTTTCAGGCAGATAGGAGGCGGACAGAGATCTCATCCTGGGTCTGCTTTTTCTCAGTTGCCTTCAAGTCAAAATAATCCATATGCCAGAGTGGCATATTGTGGGGTGGCATAATCCAAACCCCTTCATTGGCAAGCATCAGAAGCCAGGAAGAGACAAGAAAAGGTTTTTTCCCCTACAGCTTTCAGAAGGAGCATGGCCCTGCTGACACCTTATTTCAGTCTGAGGGCCTTCAGAATTGTGAGATACTACATTTCTGTTGTAATCTACCCAGTTTGTGATACTTCGTGATGGCAGCCCAAGGAAATTAACACAGCACAAAATCTTGTCTTTACTTAGGATATCTCCAGCTGATTTCTTTTTATATCCTATTGGCCAGAACAAGGTCAAATGCCCAAACCAAGAACAACCAATTGATAAAGGGAAGGAGATTTCCATGACTGGTTAGGCCTATCCTGGAGTCGGGGACCACTCTCCTTGGAAGCAAAGATCTCTCCTTACCACCTGAACACACTGAAAGAAGGGAAAATGGCTCTTGGGGAGGTAGTGGGTAGTGCCTATCACACTTGAAGGTGGACCACTGTGCTGCTCTGTGGACTTTAGAAATGCTGCCCTACTTAACAGTGTTTGAGATTCATCTCAAAACAGATCTTTACCTTCTCCAGAAGCACTCAGGAGTTTAGGTGAAAGATCCAGGTGGATAGCTCCAGGGTAAGAAGTTAGAAATGCTGACACTATGTGAGAGATAGTGTTCATAGGGAGAGACCATGGGATCTTACCTAAAACCAAGAAATGGGTGGTAAATGTAGTGAAAAGGAAGCACCAGGAAATTGGAAATCTCAGGGAGGAGAAAAGGCAGGTGAAATGATCTGGTACTGATGAAAATCCCCCATCTCTACATCAAGGGGATTATTAACTCAGTTTCAAAAATAGAGAACAAGAGAGAAAAAGAGAAACAGGGATGCTGTTTTAACTATAGGCAGCAGTATATAGTAAGACATATTTTTAATCTTTTATCAGTGAAAGTGTAAACAGTTAAATCCAGCACTAAATAATAAATGTGTCAATATTTTAAAATATATTTTTTCATAGCTAAAATTAGAACTAAACATGCTAATGAACTCAGCACCAAGGGCTGGAGGTGATGGAGAGAACATTTCATCTCCCAGGCAACTCCCAACTCTGCAAGTTCTAGAATTCCTAAACATTAAATTTTCTTCATTGAAGACATATTTGGGAACTATAGCTTCATCATAAGGCAGCCAAGTCTTGTGATATATGGGTTAAAGGAAAGTTATGCTTCTCCTGGGGTCTTCCTCTACATTTCCACCTAGACGGGCCTGGGTCAAAATGTAGAGGAAGACCCCAGAAGGAGCAAAACTTTCACCTGCGCCTCTTCCACCTGGGTCTGTCCTTTATCCTACCAGCTCCAAGAACAGGATTGTAATTGGTCACCTGATCTACCTGCATCTTCCTGACTGCAACAAGTTCTTTGCCCTATAGCTGCTTTATTTCCACAGTTTGTCTTACCTGGAAGCACCTCTTCCTTCTTGGAGTCCCTTCTGTTCCCCAGACATACCTCTGTCATGGCACCATAGCATTTTGTGGCTTTTAAAAATTACATGTCTTATCTCCCCTTACTAAGGACTTTGGGGACAGTGATCTTGCCTTAGTTGTCTTTGGGTTCCCAGCATCTAACACCATTGGGGTCTCTTAAATGTTGGATGAATAAATAAATTATTAAAGGCTAATCTCAGGGGGGAATAGAATATGTCATAAATTCCTCAGCTGGAACTCATAGGGATCAATGATGTCCCACACAAAAGCCCTATAGGGACAAGAATTCAGGAAGGGTGTTAGCTGCAAATCTTCCTGGCCTATGGAGAAGCATGGAATATACTGTGAGCCATATATGTCCCTGAAGCTAATCTAATCTATCTCAATGAAATTATATGCTTAGGTATTGTCATCTCAGTTTCTAATGTGTAACTTTTGCTTTCCTTGGAAATTGAAAGGATTTGAGCCATTTCTTAGGTAGTTTCAGGACGATACTGCTTCTCAGAGTTAAGGACTTCCTTTTTTCAATGTGTACCTGAACATCCAGAAGTTAAAAACAAGAGTAGCAGAGTCTTGCAGATGCAAACATAGTACAGAAGTTCTCATCCATCGCCCAAATTGAAACGTGCAATGTAAGCTGTAGCCATCCAGTTCCACTGCAGTGCTGGAGCAGAGGAGCAAGGGAGTTGGGATGAATGTGAAGAACTCAGAGGACCATTGGGAGCATATTCATTTCACTCATTCTCCGTAAAAAACAGGCATGTTGCTGGTAACCTGGACTTTTTCCAACCCTGGCTACACAGTTGCTGGATTTAGGTGCCAGACTCCTGTTGCTTCTTATTGCAAAATGCCCCCACATGGCATTTTGCCCCATTTTCATTTCTGCTTCTGATTAGGTCACTGTGAACTTTCTCTCCATGTTTACTCAAAGTACCAGAAATATGTAGGGACAGCCTCCACTTATCTCGAGATTTCCTGCTGTTCATGATTCAGCTCACTTTGCTGTTCTTTTTCATTTCCTCTATCTTACATTTTGATTGTTTTTTATCTTCTTTTTCTTCAGCTTTATTGCTTGTTTCATTGGTTCTTAGCCCAGTGTCTGAAAGTGACCCTGAGAAGTTGTCTAAGCAGAAAAGCATGCATTGTGTTTTTAGATTGTTCAAGACAGGGCCGCCATTACCCCATTGGATGCCTTTGTGCAAAGTGGAAAAATGTGTCCTTTTCTCTGAGGAGATGCAGCCCTACACTAGGGTGCATGGCTTGGTTAGCAGAAGGCAGACTGATTTCAAAATCCAGTCTATTGTGCATTCTTGTGCCGTGAATGGAGAGGTGCAGCCCTGTTTAGAGAAGAGCCTGTAATCTTGCTTAAATAAGTCACTACAGCAACTATTATCTCACAGTGAAAATGTTCCTCTTTAAAGGCCGCTAAATAAATGAATGACCTTGGACATACATTTATTTCCTCACTTTTCAGTAGTTTACAAGATCCCTGAACACCATTCAAGGCTTATATTAGTGGCTTTCTGCTACCGCTAACATCAAATCCAAAACACCATGGACTTACTTGCAAGGTCTTATTTGCACTTTCAGCATAGCACCATGGACTTATTAGCACACTTTAGTGTTATATTACCATCTCACACTTGTCTTCATTTCAGCAAACAATTAATAAACATGGACTAGGAGCCAAACTCTTGAAGCACAACTTTCGTTTATCACCAGCTTCGCATTTTCACCTCATCTAACCCTACTAACAAAATGCATATCCTTGAAACTTCCAAACAGAAGACTCTGGGGATGTTTGGCAAAACCTCAGCATAACTTCTGCTGCTCCAGGCTTGGGATCCACAGAAGAGCTGCCTCTTGGGTCAGCTCTTCCAGCCCTGCTCGGCTCCTCCCTTGGCCACTCCCAGTCCCACAGACCCTCCTCTATGCACTGTGCTCAGACACCTGCTTGAAGTGCAGAAACTACTTCAGTATCACTTGAGGGAATCTCTAGGTATAAATTCTACACAGAAGAAAAATGTTAATACTCTATTTGCATAGTGTTTTGTTATTTAGGAAATGCTTTCACATGCATTAGTTCGTGTAATCCTGAGTTGGAATAATCAGCCAAAAAGCAAAAATGCATACAATTCAGTTGTCTCTCAGTCTATCCCACCCCGTTCTTCCCATGGTGCTGGTTGGTTCATAAATGGGAGCAAGTGAAAGCCTGCCCCATTGTGGCCCCAGTTCTGGGCTTCAGTTTCCAAAATAGATACAGACCTCACCCAAGTTCCATCTGTTCTAACCCACTTCCTCCTTGTCCTGGTCTCCAACCTTTGGCACCCATGCATTCACTTTGGTCGCCTCTTCCAGGTCTTTCTTCCTCCAGCTCCCTGCAGGTTAAGGATGAAGTGGTTTCTCTCAATTCCCTTTGTACGAGAAACACAGGGTTCTTTATGCCTACACCAGTTTCAGTGGGAAACCCTCTTTATAGCAGCTATGCAAATCCTGCATCTGGGATACCTGTGACTCATTTACACAGAATCTTGATCCTTTCAAACAACAATAGTAACACTAACTCATGCTTACTGGTTTCTGCGTGGCAGGCATGGCACTCTGTGCTCTCTGCATGTTATCTCATACTGTTGCAGATTTAGGTTGAGTACCTGATGCCAGTAAGCCAAACACTGACACATCAGTGCTTAGGAGCACAGAAAGGTTATTCAAATTGGCTACAGCATGAGGGTGCGAGAGGCACCTCTCAAACCCCACCTGTCTTTGAACATAACTGGGGGGCTTTTACGAGTAAGGTAGATATGTGGGAGGTGAGATTCTCTGATGATGAAAGCTGCTTGTGTCCCTCAGCCAATCGAACTTCTGGATGCCATCAAGGAGGTCTCCATGACCTAAGGATCATTGTTCTTTAAAAGAAAAACCAGTTCATTAATCTTGCAGACAGCCCCTGGGGGTCAGGATATGAAGTTAATCACTTATTAATGACTACCCTCTAACGAAATGACTATGTGCAAGCAAACATGCATGGAGGAAGACAAGGACAAAGAAAGAGGAAGAAGTAAAATGAACATCTTACGATTTTTATAATATAGGCTTGGTGACATCACCTTCCCAACAGACACACAGGGCTACTATGAGTATGCCCATTTACAAATGAGGTTGAATTGAAGCAGTTTTTACAAAGGGACACCACTGACCCTAAAGCCCTGAGCTGTCTGTTTCCAGACTTTTTTCACTCCTTTATCTTCTGCCAGCTTTACGACTCCATACATTTAATTCCTCAGAGACCACTATTTTTGTTTAAAATCTCTAAGTTTCTTCCTAATTCTATACCCCAGTGTCAGCATTCAGCAGTTCTATAAGATCTCAAAAGATTATTTCTCCCAAATCCTCACCTTGACCCTCCCCAGGCAAACGTTCACATGTTCACAACCCAATGCATTCACTTTACTCTCATCCTAGGCAAATTGGGGGAAGTCATGTTTCCATTGCAATCCGGAAGAAGAAATACCGCAGGCCTGCCTCTCTCCACCCAGGACTTGGGCATAGTCATCATCCAGCCTTTGCCCTAAAGCAGAGGTTTTCAGCCCAGGTTGCAAAATAGATTGCCCTGGGAACCTTCATAAAGCTGGACACCTGGGCTGCTCACCCTGAGGAATTGAGGCAGAATCGCTGAGGGTGCGGCCTGGACACAAAAGTTTTGGGGTTTTTTTGGTTTTTTTGTTTTGTTGTGTTGTGCTTTTTTTTTTAAGGACCTGGTGATTCTGATGAGAACCACTTGCCTGCCTTTCTCTTTGCCAATCTGAGTCCATTACCATTTTCTTGAGCTAACTCAGACATCATTTTCTTTAGATACTCTATAGGAGCACCTAACATGGCGCTTGCCACAGAAATGATTGACTGTTTTCTCTCTGTACATCCTCATTAACTCCAACTCAATAGAACACCAATTTAATTTGCCTCCTTTGTATAAATGTATTCAATCCACCCCGTATCACTGTAGAATATCTATACATTGTTCTAGAATTACTGTTTTCTTATTTTATGTGGATCTGGCTTGCTTTAACTATTTCAAAAATGGAGGCTACGCTTTTTTTTTTTGTTTTTTTTTTTTTGCCTCTTTCCATAGTGCCAGCAAAGAGCTTCTAAATCACGACAAACAGTAAATGCATGTTGATTATAAGTAAAACCTATTTTTGCTTTCACTTTCCTTTGATATGAAAGTCAATTAAATAGGCTGCAGAGAACAGGGAGTTTAGAAGGCTGAAATAAGAAAAATATGTAGCCTGGAAAAAAAATGGAGATGACCAGTAAGCAAAGTGAAATTGTATATACTGCAGACTGATCGGCTCTATCCAAATGGGTGCTCCTTTTGGATATGAGCTCATTCAAATGGTAAATGATTTCATTCAAAACTTTCCTTTGGGAAAAGTCACTTGGAGAGTCCACTTTACATAAAAGAATCCAATTTAATCTTCAGTGGAAAAAGTGGAATTGGACGAGGGCAGAGCTCTCCTTTCATTTTAGAGAATAAAAGTGGCAGCCTGGATCCTGGTCCAGTCTCTGGTACTAACTAGCTGTGACTTTGATACATCATTGAGTCCATCAGAGCTGACTGACTCCCAGGGCTCTCCATAGCAATAATGGTAATAAAAATAGCAAACATTCATGGAGTTCTTGCTGTGTAACAGGCACTGTGCTGAGGATTTTTCATGCATTATTTCATTTAACCATCATTCCTTGAGACAAGTACTATCATTAACCCCAACTGAGGAAACTAAGGCTCGGAGAGATTAATTTGTCTAAGATCACAAAGAAAATGTATTTTGGTGAAACTATTCATTCAAGCCTAGCTCCAATGTCCATTCTTCTTTCCTCACGTCTACATGAGACCTTCCTTATCCCCATATTTGCAAGCAGAGTACATTATTCTGGGCTTACTGAATGCTTTATGCACACAGATATTTTAGCGCTTCTCCCATTGTATTTTGCTAATTGTTTTTGCATGTCTCTCCTAGCTGACTGCAAAAAATGAATTCAAGAGCTGTATTCTATTTGTCTTATTACTCTCATCACTTACTGTAGGGCTTAACAATTAATAGACTCTCATATGTACCAAAATATGAACTCTCAAATTTGTTGTATCCTCAGAGAGGTTGAGTAACTGACTCAGGTTCACACAGGAAGTACAAAGTGAGACCGGATTTTGCATTCCGGCATCTGACCGTCCCCACTTCCTATGAGCATCACTGTCCACTCAGAGTTGTTCAAGCCAATGCAGAAACCAGGGAACCATTCTTTATAATAATTCCCTGCTCACAATTCCTGAATTCCTGCCCCCTTCCCCCTTTCCACTCCAGTCATTGTTTCAGCCCATCACCTTCTCCCCAACCCTCAATCACCATGGT
This sequence comes from Homo sapiens, assembly GCF_000001405.40. Taxonomy (NCBI): domain Eukaryota; kingdom Metazoa; phylum Chordata; class Mammalia; order Primates; family Hominidae; genus Homo; species Homo sapiens. Next base: position 47,193,480 of record NC_000012.12, read on the forward strand.
AATTCAGATTACTGCCTTCACTCGCCTGGATTACAATAGTTAGGGTGTAGGATTTTGGCTGACCCCCAAAACAAAAGATTAAAAATTATGGATGACTTTTATAAACTACAAGCAAGTCTTACAATTTCCCTCAGAGACAAAGATATACTTCTGCCCACTCAGCCCTGAGTAGCTTCAATCATGGTTCTCTAGTAAGTTAGAATTATATTTTCTCCCCGTGACATAAATTTCAGTATAAGGATCAGCAACATTGCTCCAGTCCTATAAATCATATGAGGCAACCAAATAGTCTCCAAGATTCTAGCTCATTTGCTGTTCATCTGTTTTAAGATTGCATTTCACCAGTTTATTTCAGGGTGTCTGCCATTTTGGCCCCAGTTTTGATAACTGCAGATTGTTGTTATTTTAAAGCCATTTCATTGCTCAGTCTTGCTGGGGCTGGGGCCCTGCCTTGCTCTTGCCCTCACTAAGCTGCATTCTGGTTTCCTGCCTACCTCCCTTGGCTTTGAATAAATACCACATGCTCTTGCTGTGCTTTTGCTGTGCTCTGCCACCTGCAGGGCCCTTGGTCATACTGTGTTGAGACCTCCTTGCAGGAGTGGCCGCTTGCCCTTTGCAGCCAGCATTTTTCAGATAACTTCCCTCCATGCTCCTGAAACACATCTGTCTCCCCACTGCCTGCCTCCTCTCAGGAATAGGTCTTTTTTTATTTTGAGATGGAGTCTCACTCTGTCGCCCAGGCTGGAGTGCAGTGGCACGATCTCAGCTCACTGCAACCTCCACCTGCTGGGTTCAAGTGATTCTCCTGCCTCAGCCTCCTGAATAGCTGGGATTACAGGCGCGCAGCACCACGCCCAGCTAATTTTTGTATTTTTAATAGAGATGGGCTTTCACCATGTTGGTCAGGCTGGTCTCGAACTCCTGACCTCGTGATCCACCTGCCTAGGCCTTCCAAAGTGCTGGGATTACAGGCGTGAGCCACCGCACCTTGCTGGGATGGGTCTCTTTACAGGTACTGGAACTAATTTAGAACCACAAATGTCCCTTTGATAGCTACTTATTGCAAACACAAGAGAAATTTCCTTAGTGTAAAGAAAATCAATCATTTTTGGCAAACTACTTAGACTTTCAACAGTGAAGCTTCTTAGAATATTGAGGTCTCCTGCTCTTCTGGGAACTGTGGGACAAAGTACTCCAGTTAATATCCTCAGATGACCTGCCAACAAGAAAGGTCATACCGGTCGGAGTTCCATGTGCTATTTAAAGAACAGACCTTAGATGGCAGAAGCAGCAATATGTGGCCAGGGTTTTAATGAGGAAGAGAAAGGTGCCGTGTGGCTAAATTCGAGAGTAAATGGCATTGTTGTGTTCAGAAACAGCACTGGCCACTTATCCTGTTTCATAATTCCTCTTCTTTAAAGTTATTATCTTCATTTTGAGTATTGTGAATTATTTATTAGTATTATATATTTAACTTGTTAAATGAAGAAATGTGTTCTTGTATGAGAGGGGGGAAGAAAAGCCTGTTTTAGTCTTTTGGAATTCATCTTTAGAAATATTTCTAAAAGTAGGCCGGGCGCGGTGGCTCACGCCTATAATCCCAGCATTTGGGAGGCGGAGGCGGGTGGATCATGAGGTCAGGAGTTCGAGACCAGCCTGACCAACAAGGCGAAATTCCGTCTCTTCTAAAAATACAAAAATCAGCCGAGCATGGTGGTACACACCTGTAGTCCCAGCTACTCGGGAAGCTGAGACAGGAGAATCACTTAAACCCAAAAGGCGGAGGTTGCAGTGAGCCGAGATCATGCCACTGCACTCCAGCCTGGGCGATGGAGCGAGTCTCTGTCTCAAAAAAAAAAAAAGAAAAAAAGAAATATTTCTGAAGGTGACAGCTAATGTCTCGAGGGAGAAAATGAGGATCATGAGAAAATGAAACAATTTTTCTCCATATTAATTATGTGTACAATCCAAACCTATCTGATAGCTGGTGACTACAAATTTATTCATTTTCCCTCTACCCACCCTCCTTCCTCTGATTATCTTTCTAAATTCACTTAGAGGCAGCAACTACCCAAAAAAAAACCCCACCATAGTAGAGTAGAGGAGGGATGGGTGTTGTATTAAGGAAGGTATAGCCCCTGTAAGTAACATGCTACAGTAAGGGCCAGAAACAAGAAGGTTGCTCACAGCAGCCCCAGTAGAGTTTAATATCAGATATTGAAGTGAGTCAGGAAGATCTAAGAAAATCATACCTGAGTCTACCAGAGTTGTCTGTTCCCACTTTTTTCATTCTTCATTTCCTCACCCTCTATTCACATTTTATGTATAGTTAAATATTCATTATTCATTTTATTATGCCCATGCAGATAGCAGTCAGAACTTAATGTTATAATATACGGGCTATGGTTATGTTTTATTAACCATTTGCTTTTTTCTTGAACTTAATAATTACATTTTTTAAAAACTGCTTAGTTTTCTGGTCTCTATTACAATTCTTCCCACACCTTCCAATATTCTATTAGCCCAATTTTCCAAAGATTAGTCAAACTAGGTGATGCATTAATTTCAGTTCCAAAATAAATGAATTCTTTTAACTTTGCAAAGACTATTACATATAACACTATGTTACAAAATTTGAATATATTGACATTTTTAAAGTAGAGTGTTTATGTGTGTAACTTTTTAAAAATATGTAACCATAAAAAAGTAGGTAAATAATATCAACTTCAACTTAATAGTGCTTTGCTAGGAGGCAGTAGAACTTAGTAGCTAAGTGTCTGGCATTAGAGCAACTAGCTTCAAATCCTGGCTCTGCCACTTACTAGATGTGCCTACCAGAAACAAGATACTCAACCTATTTGTGCCTCAGTTTTCTGATCCATAAAATGGAGATAATAGTACCTAACTCAAGGATTGTTCAAGCTTAACTTAAGTAATACATATAAATCACTATATGTTGCCTGACATACAGTAAATGCTCAGTAAGTTTTAGGTATTATTTAGCACAGTAGCAAAGGAAGAAACAATTTAAAAACACTGAAAAACTTCATCTAAAGTTTATATATGGGCTGGGCACCGTGGCTCACGCCTGTAATCCCAGCACTTTGGGAGGCCGAGGCAGGCAGATCACCTGAGGCCAGGAGTTCGAGACCAGCCTGGCCAACACGGTAAAACCCCGTCTCTACTAAAATTGCAAAAATTATCTGGGCGTGGTGGCGGGCGCCTGTAATCCCAGCTACTCAGGAGTTTGAGGTAGAATTGCTTGAACCCAGGAGACGGAGGTTGCAGTGAGCCAAGATCGTGCCACTGCACTCCAGCCTGGGCAAAAGAGCAAGACTCCATCTTAAAAATTAAAAAATATATAAAAAATAAACTTTATATATGAAAAAATATGAACATAAAATTAACAGAAAAATAATAAGCTGAAATGAAAACATTTGCAGCATGGATGGCAGGCCAAAGTGTTAATACACTTAATATGTAATAATCCTTAGATAAAATAGAAAAGTAGGCAAAGTACACAAATTGGCAGTTTATTTAAAAAAAAAAACAGATGATAGACCAGCCTGACCAACATGGTGAAACCCCATCTCTACTAAAAATATAAAAATTAGCCAGACATGGTGGCGGGCACCTGTAATCCCAGCTACTCAGGAGGTTGAGGCAGGAGAATCACTTGAACTTGGGAGGCGGAGGTTGCAGTGAGCTGAGGTTGCACCACTGCACTCCAGCCTGGGTGACAGAGTGAGACTCTGTCTCAAAAAAAAAAAAAAAAAAAAAAAGATATAAAAACATATCTGCCCTCGCTTGTAAAAAAAAGTCATTGCATATTAAAATACAATGATAGCCCGGTGCAGTGGCTCACGCCTGTAATCCCAGCACTTTGGGAGGCCGAGGAAGGTGGATCACCTGAGGTCAGGAGTTTGAGACCAGCCTGGCCAACATGGTGAAACCCCATCTCTACTAAAAATACAAAAAATTAGCTGGGCATTGTGCTGGGTGCCTGTAATCCCAGCTACTCGGGAGGCTGAGGCAGGAGAATCGCTTAAACCCAAAAGGCGGAGGTTGTAGTGAGTCCAGATCGCGCCATTGCACTCCAGCCTGGGCAACAAGAGTGAAACTCTGTCTCAAAAAAATAAATAAATAAATAATAAAATAAAATAAAATACAATGATATACAAAAAAAGGGAGAAGACATAAATTACTAATAATCAGAAATGAAAAAGGGGCCATTGTTACTGACTCCATGGACATTAAAAGAATATTAAAGGAATATTAGTCACAACTCTATGCCCACAAATATGATCATTTATATGAAAATAGACCATTTCCTAGAAGGACACAGTCTACTGAAACCCACACAAAGAGAAATAGATAATCTGAATTAGCCAATATATATTAAAGAAATTTAACTGATAATTAATAACCATCTAAAACAGAAAGCACCAGGCCCAGATGGGTTCACTGGCTAATTCTACTGAACATTTAAGGAAGAAGTGATACCAATTCTCTACTGTTTCTTCCAGAAAATAGAAGTGAAGGAAACATTTCTTCACTCATTCTATGAGGCCAGCATTAATCCTATATCAAAACCAGACAAAGACGTTAAAAGAAAGGAAAACTACAGACTCATATCTTTCACAATCATAAATCCAGAAATTCTCAACAAAATATTAACAAATGAAATCTAACAATGTATAAGAAGAATTATGCACCACAACAAAATGCTTTTTTTTCGAGGTATACAGGGTGGTTCAATTGATTTGAAAATCATTAATGTAATTTATCGTATCAATAGGCTAAAGAAGAAAAATGTATATGCTCATATTAACAGGCGCAGAAAAGCACTTGACAAAATCCAGCACTCATTCATAGTTTAGAGAAAAATCTCTCAACAAACTAGGAGTAGAGGGGAACTGGATCTCAACTTCATAAAGGATAACTGCAAAATAACTACACCTAACATCATGCTTAATCTTAGGAAACTAGATTCTTTCTCCCTACGATCAAGAACAAGGCAAGGGTGTCCCCTCCCTCTCACTACTCCTATTCAGCATTGTACTGGAAGCCCTAACTAATGCAGTAAGACCAAAAAAACAAAAAACAAACAAACAAAAAAAAAAGCAAGGTAAACGGATTGAGAAGGAAGAAAGAAATAAAACTTTGTTCACAGATGACGTGATTATGCAGAAAATCCCAAAGAAGGCAGGTGTGGTGGCTCACACCTGTAATCCCAGCACTTTGGGTGGCCAAGGCAGGCGGATCACCTGAGGTCAGGAGTTTGAGACCAGCCCGGCTAACATGGTGAAACCCTGTCTCTACTAAAAATACAAAAAATTAGCCAGACATGGTTGCACATGCCTGTAATCCCAGCTACTTGGGAGACTGAGACAGGATAATCTCTTGAACCCAGGAGGCAGAGGTTGCAGTGAGCTGAGATTGTGCCATTGCACTCCAGCCTGGGCAACAAGAGCTAAACTCCATCTCAAAAAAAAAAAGAAAAAGAAAAAAGAAAAGAAGGAAAATCCCAAAGAATCAACAACAGCAAAAAACCATCCTGGAACTATTATAGTAAGTAATTATAGCAAGGTCACATAACACAAAGTTAGTATACAAATGTAATTGCTTTCCTATATATCAGAAATGAACAACTGGAATTTGAAATAAAAAATAGACCATTCACATTTGCACCAAAAAATTACTTAGGTATAAATCTAAGGACCTATATAAGGAAAACTACAAAACTGTGATGAAAGAAATCAAATGACTAAATAAATGAAGAGGTATTTCATGCTCATGGATAGGAAGACTCAAATTCCTCATGCTACCAGTTATTCCTGATAACTTGATCTATAGATTCAACACAATCCACATTCAAATATCAGCAAGTTATTTTATGAATATTAATAATTTTATTTTAAAGTTTATAAGAAAATGCAAAAGACCCAGAATAGCCAACATAATATTGTAAAAAACAGAAGTGAAAGACTGACACTATCTGGCATCGAGTGTTACTATAAAGCTATAATGATCAAGACAGTGTGGCATTTGTGAAGGAAAAGACAAATAGAAAAATAAACCTATATAAATACAGTCAATTGATCTTTGACAAAGGAGCAAAGGCAATTCAATAGAGAAAGACTAATCTTTTCAACAAATGGTTCTAGAACAACAGGACATCCACATGCAAAATAAGAAAAAAGTTAATCTAACACAGACTTTGCACCTTTCACAAAAATTAACTCAAAGTGGATCATAGACTTAAATGTAAAATATAAAACTGCAAAACTTCTAGAAGATAACAGAAGAAACTCTAGGTGACCTTGTGTTTAGTTGTGAATTTGTAGCTTCAACACCAAAAGCACAATCCATGAAAGAAAAATTGATAAGTGAGACTTCAATAAAACTAAGAACTTCGGCTTGGCAAAAGATACTGTTAAGAAAATAAAAGGGCAAGCCACAGACAGGGAGAAAATATTTGCAAATATATCTGATTAAGAAGTATTATCCAAAATGTCAGCCTGGGCAACATGGTGAAACCACATCACTACAATACAAAAAAATATGAAAATTAGCCAGGTATGGTGGCACAAGCCTATAGTCCCAGCTACTCAGGAGGCTGAGGTGGGAGGATGGCTTGAACCCTGGGAGGTTGTAGTGAACCAAGTTCACACCACTGCACTCCAGCCTGGGCTATAAAGACAGATCTTGCCTCAAAAAAAAAAAAATTCTATCCAAAATATGTAAAGTGTTAATATTCAACAGTATGAAAGCAAACAACCCAAGTAAAAACACGGGCAAAAGACCTGAATAGACACCGCACCAAAAGAAGACATACAGATGGCAAATAAGCACATGGAAAAATGCTCAATACCATATATCATTAGGGAATTACGAACTAAAACAATGAGATACTATTACACCCCTATTAGAGTGGTTAGAAAATCAGAACACTGACAACACCAAATGCTGGTGAGGATGTGGAGCAACAAGAATTTTCATTTGTTGCTGGTAGGAATGCAAAATGCCACAGCCACTTCACAAGGCAGATTGGCAGCTTTTACAAAGTTAAACATAGTCTTAACATAGAATCCAGCAATCGTACTCCCATTTACCCAAGTGAGTTGGCATTTATCCAAATGAGCTAAAGACTTATGACCACCCCAAATCCTGCATTTGAATGTTTGTAGCAGCTCTATCATAATTTCCAAAACTTGGCAGCAAATGCCCTCACCAAATGCCTTGCTGATATTAGTGCAGTGTGCCTACAGAATTCCACTGCTCTGCTGGACCAGTAACGCTAGGCCATGTCAGTTCAGATCACTGCAGAGTAAGTGGAAAAAATAATAATGAGACTTAAACAATAACAGACATATGCGATGTGGATTAAAAGACACAGTTGTTCATTTAAATTCTGTTTCCCCAGTGTTCTAAAAAACAATATAGACATTTGTTTGAAGTTATTTGAAAGGCTTTTAAAAAGTTTCAGATAGTGTGGTTATTGATACTGTTGTACCTGAGTGAGTTAGAGAAAACGCCACACTTTGAGACGAGTTAAGAGTCCCTTTATTTAGCCGGCGGCCAAGAGACGGCTAACGCTCCAAATTCTCTCGGCCCCGAAGAAGGGGCTAGATTTTCTTTTATACTTTCGTTTAGAAAAGGGGAGGGGGGGAGTCTAGTTAAAAGAATTTTACAGAAATAAAGTAGGCAAAAAGTTAAAAGGATAAATGGTTACAGGAAAGTAAACGGTTCCAGGTGCAGGGGCTTTCAGTCTATTACAAGGTGATAGACTCGGGGCTTTGGGCGTTATCAATCAGACGAATTCCTTGGAATTGCGAATATAGCTTGCCACAGTTTCATATCAGTTAATTGCATTCTTGGATGTGCTGGGAGTCAGCTTGCACAAGTTAAGTCCTTGAGGAAGGGGCTGCCAGTGAAAGAGCCAAGATGGAGTCTGTCTGGCTCTCTTAGCTAAGGGAGAGTCAATTCAGGTGGAAGCAAGGCTAGGTGATTAAAGGAAAAGGGAGATTCTAAAAACAGGGTTAGTAAAAACAAGGTTGGGCGTTACAATACTGCCCAGCAGTATTTTATTGTTATTCCTTAACAAAGGAAGAAATTTTTTTTTCTTTTTTTTTTTAAGACAAGGTCTCACTGTATCATTCAGGCTGGAATGCAATGGTGCGATCTTGGCTCGCTGCAGCCTCAACCTCCCGGGCTTAGGTGATCCTCCCACCTCAGCCTCCTGAATAGCTGAGACTACAGGTGTGCACAACCACACAGAGCTAATTTTTTGTATTTTTGTAGAGATGGGGGTCTCACCATGTTGCCCAGGCTGGTCTTGAACTCCTGAGCTCAAGTGTTCTGCCCACCTCGGCCTCTCGAAGTGCTGGAATTACAGGCATGAGCCAATGCACCAGGCCTGGAAGCAAATATTTTTAAGTTTGTCTTTGAGGAGTGGTATGTGTAAACCTGAGCATCTATCTGAAAACAGGCCACTAAGCTCTGCCCAATTATGAAGAAATATTTAAAGCCATTTAGATCAAGTACTATATTAGTTAGTATATTGATGTTACAAATATACAGTTATCTATATTCATTGTAAGCACCACAAATAAAATATAAATATCACCTAGAGGATACTTATGAAGCATTCAGGCTTCGAGAACCTGATTCTAATGTGCTACTAAGATAATGAGAATTCATTAAGAGTTATTTGCACATAATAGAAGGGTTAATATTTGCAATGACAGGGAGTTGATATTCAATAGAACATTCTAAGCTTCCATTCCTGGATTGGTTAAAAGTCTGGAAAATTATGTCAAAATTTGCCCATCAAAAGATGATACCGCATTGCAGAAGCACATGAGCTTCCAGGTTATGCCAGACTGGATGTTGCCTGGGAAACCATTACTGGCTTTTGCTACAGCTAGAAGAGAAAGTCTGTTCCTAAGGCGAAGATAGTTTCAGAACTTTGTATCTCTAGTTCTTTCATAGCTTCTGCAGTCCTCACTGCTCACATGTCTTCTACCCACAGCCCCAGTTTGATCTGATTCTATGTGGTCCCTGATTCCCAGATATTTGCCTGAATTTGACTCCTTCACGTCTAGACATTAGTAAAAAAAAAAAAAAAAAAAAAAAAAGAAAAAAGAAAAAAAATTGCAACGCTGCAAAACTGTTTGGTTTTACCTATGCAGTAACTTTTTATTTGAGGAAATGTTTAAAAATCAGGATACAGCTCATAAAAATATATATTTACAGTTTTTTTATTTTTGAAAAATTGGAATTTTAGCAAGTTAAAGCCATATTCCCTCATGAAGTAATCTACTAGAGCAGAGTGGCCACTGTGCTCTTAAATGACACATGTGGTCTCCAGTTTGCCAGAATCCTCACTAATCCCAATTGTTCCCAATACTGAGGCTATTAATTTTCATTTACCACTATACTTTCACCTCTGTATATTCTTTATGGTAAAGAATTACTTCTCTTTTCTTTCTTTTTTTTTTTTTTCCTGAGACAGTCTGGCTCTGTTGCCCAGGCTGGAGTGAAGTGGCATGATCTCAGCTCACTGCAACCTCTGTCTCTTAGATTCAAAAGATTCTCCTGCCTCAGCCCCCCAAGTAACTGGGACTACAGGCAGCCGCCACCATGCCCGGCTAATTTTTGTATTTTTAGTAGAGATGGAGTTTCACCATGTTGGCCAGGCTGGTCTCAAACTCCTGACCTCAGATGATCCACCTGCCTCGGCCTCCCAAAGTGCTGGGATTACAGGCATGAGCCACCGTGCCCAGCCTTCTCTTTTCTTTTTTTAATTTTTTAAAATTTTTTATTTCCAACTTTTAAGTTTAGGGGTACATGTGCAGGTTGTGCAGTTTCGTTACATAGGTAAACATGTGCCATTGTCATTGGCTGCACAGATCATCCCATCACCCAGGTATTAAGCCCAGCATCCACTAGCAATTCTTCCTGATTCTCTCCCTCCTCCCAACTCTCACCCTCCGACAGGCCCTAGTGTGTGTTGTTCCCTACCCTTGGTGTCCATGTGTTCTTAACATTTAGCTCCCACTTATAAGTGAGAACATGCAATATTTGGTTTTCTGTTCCTGCATTAGTTTGCTAAGAATAATGGCTTCCAACTCCATCTCTGTCCCTGCAAAAGACATGATCTCATTCCTTTTATGGCTGCATAGTATTCTGCAGTGTATATGAACCACATTTTCATTATCCAGTCTATTACTGATGGGCATTTAGGTTGATTTCATTTATTGCTGTTGCTACTAGTGCTCCAATGGACATACATATGCATGTGTCTTTATAACAAAATGATTTATATTCCTTTGGGTATATACCCGGTAATGGGATTGCTGGGTCTAATGGTATTTCTGCCTCTAGGTCTTTGAGGAATTGCCACACTGTCAATTGCCACAAGTTCAAATGGTTGAACTAATTTATATGCCCACCAACAGTGTAAAAGCATTCTTTTGTGTAAAAGCATTCTTTTTCCCCACAACCTCGCCAGCATCTGTTGTTTTTTGACTTTTTAAAAGTAGCCTCCGCCTCCCAGGCTCAAACGATCCTCTACCTCAGCCTCCCAAGTAGCTGGGACTACAGGCATGTGCCATCATGCCTGGCTAATTTTTGTATTTTTAGTAGAGACAGGGTTTCATTCGCTATGTTGGTCAAGCTGGTCTCGAACTCCTGATCTTAAATGATCTGCCCGCTTCGGCATCCCAAAGTGCTGGGATTACAAGTGTGAGCCACCACGCCCAACCCCCATATGAATTTAAAATTTTTTTTTTCTAATTATGTGAAGAATGTCAATGGTAGTTTAATGGGAATAGCATTGAATCTATAAATTGCTTTGGGCAGTATGGTCATTTTCATGATATTGATTCTTCCTATCCATGAGCATGGAATGCTTTTCCATTTGTTTATGTCCTCTCTGATTTCTTTGAGCAGTGGTTTGTAGTTCTCCTTGAAGAGGTCCTTCACTTCCTGATACTCTTCCATGTTTAATATGCAAAGTGAATCTATATACAAAGAACAAACCCTGCTCATTTATTCATTTGTATCTCATGTCTGGTCCCTACAGCCATTTAACTTTGCAACTCCTGGTCTCACTCACAGATCTCTGGGTGTTCTTGAAGTGTGTATTATGCTGTTAATTTACTCCCAGGGCTACCTTGCACTTTGTTTCCTTAATCCTCCACTGCCTACAGACCAGGGGAGGCAGGTCATGCATCTAAAAGTCAAGGTTCTGGGTGGCTCTTAATTGCTCCTCTGAATTTGCCTTATTGTCTACAGATGGGCCATAACATTTATTTCTAATTTAGCAATAAATACTATATACTTAGTGACTCCTAGTATAAAAGAATCTGGATACTCTAGTTCAGTTGCCTCCGTAATCATTTAATTTTCCTTGTAATTGAGGTTATATGTAAATACTGTAACCATAAACTAATGTAGCCAATAGTGTAACCACCTAACAGGTTCTCCTTGCCCACTGCCTAGAGAGAGCCAGTTTATTAAGACAGGGGAATTGCAACAGAGAAAGTGTAACTCGTGCAGAGCCACAGTATGGGAGACTGGAGTTTTATTATTACTCAAATCAGCCTCTCCAGAGTTCAGGGATCAGAGTTTTTAAGGATAATTTGATGGGTAGGGGGTTGGAAAGTGGGGCGTGCTGATAGATCAGGTCAGAGATGAAATCATAAAAAGTCTAAGTTGTCCTCTTGCACTGAATCAATTCCTGGATGGAGGCTACAAGATCAGATGAGCCAGTTTATCGATCTGGGTGGTACCAGCTGATCCATGGAGTACAGGGTCTACAAAATACCTCAAGCACTGATCTTAGGTTTTATTATAGTGACGTTATCCCCAGGAGCAATTTGGAAAGGTTCAGAATCCTGCAGCCTCCAGCTGCATGACTCCTAAACCATAATTTATAATCTGGTACCTAAGGTGGTAGTCTTGCAAAGACAGTGTAGTCTTCAGGTAGGAAGGTGGTTTGTTTTGGCAAAGGGCTGTTACCGTCTTTGTTTCAAAGTTATACTATAAACTAAGTTCCTGCCAAAGTTAGTTCAGCCTATACCCAGGAATGGTGTAACAGCTTGGAAATTAGAAGCAAGGTGGAGTCAGTTAGGTCAGATTTCTTTCACTGACATAATTTTCTTAGTTGTAATTTTTGCAAAGTCAGTTTCAATAGGTTTTTATGAATAGGAGGAAAGAAAGAGAGGGAAAGAGGGAGAAGAGGAGGGAGGAAAAGAGGGAGAGAGAGAGGAAGGAAGGAAGGAAGGAAAAAAAAGGGGCAATAACCATGTAACCGCCTAAGGGGTTCACCTTGCCCACTGCGTAGACAGAGCCAATTCACCAAAATAAGGGAATTGGAATAGAGAAAGAGTAATTCACGCAGAGCCAACTGTGCAGGAGACCAGGGTTTTATTATTACTCAAATCAGTCTCCCCCAGCGTTTGGAGAGCAGAGTTTTTAAGGACAATTTGGTGGGTTGGGGGAAGCCAGTGAGCCAGGAGTGCTGATTGGTTAGGGATGAAATCACAAGGAGTCGAAGCTGTCTTCTTGCGCTGAGTCAGTTCCTGGGTGGAGGGCACAAGATCAGATGAACCAGTTTACCGATCTGGATGGTGTCAGCTGATCCATCACATGCAGGGTCTGCAAAATATCTCAAGCATTGATCTTGGGAGCAGTTTAGGGAGGGTCAGAATCTTGGAGACTCCAGCTGCATGACTCCTATCCATAATTTCTAATCTTGTGGCTCATGTTAGTCCTACAAAGGCCATCTAGTCCCCAGACAAGAAGGAGGTCTGCTTTGGCAAAGGGCTGTTATCATCTTTGTTTCAAACTATAAACTAAATTTCTCCCAAAGTTAGTTCAGCCTATGCCCAGGAATGAACAAGGACAGCTTGGAGGTTAGAGGCAAGATAGCTAGCGTTGGTTAAGTTAGATCTCTTTCACCGTCTCAGTCATAATTTTGCAAAGGCAGTTTCAACCATAGTCAGCCCTCAGTAAGTACTAACCATAATATTGTCAATGATTGGCACCAGGCTTGGTGTGTTTTGCTCCACCTCCTGCCTCCTTGGTAATTCCTCAGCCTGCTGGGGACAAGGCAAAAGTCTTTTTTCAGTTTCTCTTTATATGAATTGATCATTTTTCAACTGCTAGGTTTTCTTTGGGGGACTGAGGCAGAAGGATCACTTGAGGCCAGGAGTTCAAGACCAGCCTGGTCAATATAGCGAAACCTCATCTCTACCCCGCCCCCGCAACAAAAAAAAAATCCAAGGTTTTTTTAAGGACCTTGTATGTTAAAAATGAAAGTGAAGAAGTAGATCTGACGGTAGTTACAGACACTACCCTGTTTCTACCTTCCACTCTGTGCTCTCAAATCCCAACATCACCAACATAAATAAATGGTGATTAGATGCTTTAGCCAGCATTTGCTCTTGCCTTAGGTAAATGGCTATTCGAATGGCCAGGGACTTTGACATACTCATCCAACTGAAGCTGAACTCAACTTGGCAGGCTCTGCCCAGGTAGAAGGAGCTTTGAATGGGATTTTAGCAAACAATCAGATGTTACCAAAATCTTATTAGGAGAACAGCATGTAGAGTTACCCTGTGGTCTCTAGCTCAGGGCCTTGAGGGAATATCCTTTCAGAGCCTAGATGGAGCCCCATGGTCAATGCACCAAGAAAATAAAGGACTTTAGCCTGAAGGTGACAGATGGAGGACTAAATTACTTTAAACTTTTGTCCAAAATACATAAACATATTGCTAGAATAATATCAGTGTTGGTTTGAATAGCCTGTTGGATTGGTTGAGATGAAGTAAGGAGCTGGCAGCTGGGCTCATCTGGTAGCACAGATAAGAACCTAATTAGCTCTATGAAAGAGGAAGCCCTGTGCCACCTCCCCAGAGCTGTGTGAGGCCCAGGGGCACACCTTCCAGCTGCCTGAGGCTGCTGCCTCCTCCCAGTCCCACTGAGGAAAGGAAGTGCTCTTTCTCTCCTGATAGGACAAGGATGACCCAGCAGATGGGCACGTGGGCAGGCAGAGCTCTCAACTACCTTTTCTCTTAGCATGGGTGACAGTGTGTATGACCACAGACCTCCCTTCCTTCCTCTTTGCTTTTATGGACCAAGCGATGGAAGGAAATGACAATAAGGAAATCTTCCTTACACAAATATGTAAGTATGCATTCCTCTTCATCAGACACAATCACAACTTAAAGAACTTGCATCAGTCTTGTGAGCTGGCCCCTAACCCCTGACTATAATCTATTATTCTTAAGATACCTACTGAGAGAACTTATTCAGATAAAACATTTTAGGGCTTTTTGGAGCTTTTCTATTTAAAGAATAACAAGCTCCTTCTCTAGTTTTCTTTAACAAACTAAGCATATGACAGGCAGAGGTTACAGATTTTTCATAGCTTACTTCCTCCTGAAATTTAAGTCTGTGGTTAATCAAGCTCTGTGAATGACAGTTTCTCCCTCGAACTTTGTGGGCTAACACAGCTCTCTGAACACCCATAATTTGTTGGGTTTTTTTTTTCTTTTTTTCCTGAGCAGTGTAAACAATTGTAAAGCTTTAAATAAATAAGCTATAAGAAGTTTTCCCAGGGTCTTGATTCTGTGACTCCACCAGGTGTCAAGGTCTCTGAACCGGCTGCCCTTAGACACGTGCCTGAACTCAAAGCAGTCATACTGTTAAGGGATAGACTTGGTGCTGTAAACTTAGCCATTTTGGTTTTTGTTTGTTTGTTTGTTTTCAGACAGGGTCTCATCTCCCAGGCTGGAGTGCAGTGGCACGATCATAGCTCACTGCAGACTTGACTTTCTGGGCTCAGGTGATCCTCCCACCTCAGCCTCCTGAGTAGCTGAGTATAGCACGCACCACCACCCTCAGCTAATTTTTTATTTTTATTTTTTTGAGACGGAGTCTCACTCTGTCACTCAGGCTCTAGAGTGCAGTATCGCGATCTCGGCTCACTGCAACCTCTACCTCCCAGGTTCAAGCAGTCCTGCCTCAGCGTCCCGAGTAACTGGGACTACAGGCGTATTTTTAATAGAGACAGGGTTTCTCCATGTTAGCCAGGCTGGTCTCGAACTCCTGACCTCAAGTGATGCACCCACCTTGGCCTCCCAAAGTACTGGGATTATAGGCATGAGTCACCCTGCCCAGGCTATTTTTATTTTTGTATAGATAGGGTCTCACTATGTTGCCTAGACTGGTTTCAAACTCCTGGGCTCAAGCGATCCTTCCACCTTGGGCTCCTAAACTGCTGGGTTTACAGGCGTGAGGCTGTTTTGATTTCACTTGTAGGGAACAAAGACTGACACTGGCCGGGTGCAGTGGTTCATGTCTATAATCCCAACATTCTGAGAGGCTGAGGCAGGCAGATTGCTTGAGCCCAGGAGTTCAAGACCAGCCTGGTCAACATAGTGAGACCCTGTATCTACCAAAAATAACTTAACAACAACAAAAACAAATGCCCTGCTTGACTTTGTCACAGTGTTTTAATTTTCATTTACATCACCCTTCTCTATGTGGCACTGTGCGTGTGGCATCTATGCTGCTCAGGACACAGTGAGGTGTCTGGTTGTCAGGGTGAGCAAAGACCAGGGCAGGCAGAGGGACCTCAGATTCCGGCTTCACTGCTTAGTGTCAGCTGATTGGCTTGAGGCAGAACCAGCCCTCCAGGAAGTCCTTTCCCTTTTCTGATATTCCTCATGGAGACAGTAAGAGCTACCCTGCAGGGTGGTTTTAAAGGTAACAATAGGCTGGGCTCACCTGTAATCCCAAAGGTGGGAGGATCACCTGAGGTAAGGTGTTCGAGACCAGCCTGGCCAACGGGGCATGGTGGCACATGCCTGTAATCCCGGCTACTCGGGAGGCTGAGGCAGGAGAATCACTTGAACCAGGGAGGCGGAGTTTGCCGTGAGCCAAGATCATGCCATCGCACTCCAGCCTGGGCAACAGAGCAAGATTTCGTCTCAAAAAAAAAGGTAATAATAATGAATACATGAATATGTAACACCTGGATTAAAGTAGACTCTCAATAAATGGTAGCAATAATAATTATTGTTGATTTTGTGAAAAGAGTTGATACACTTTAAATGCTTGGAATAGTATACTCAGTAGGTGTTCATTGTTATTGAATACTGTTATCAAAGGGAATCCAGATGCCTTATCAATTTGGGATCTTCAGGCTTTATCCCAGTAATGCTATGGATTTGGCTAATGTGTTTGATTAAGGCAGAAAGGCTGGTATCTTCAGAAAAATTTTATGTGATTTAGCAGGTTAAATTCAACCTATGAAGGGAAGTAAAATTATAAGATCTGAGTCTTAGAAAGAGCAAGACTGTAGTTTAGAGAACGGATTGGAAGAAGATGAACTTGGAAGCCACAGCACCACCACAGCAGGATTCTAGATTTGAACTAAAGCAGAGGCTATAGGAAGAGAAGTAGACTGATCAGAGACTAGCTTTGGAGATAGAAGCTACTCTTCTTGTGGCAGATGAAGAGGAAGGAGTCACAGATGATCTTGAGATTTCTGTCTTGGGGTAACCGGGTGGA
Source organism: Homo sapiens (assembly GCF_000001405.40). Classification (NCBI taxonomy): domain Eukaryota; kingdom Metazoa; phylum Chordata; class Mammalia; order Primates; family Hominidae; genus Homo; species Homo sapiens. Next base: position 47,210,067 of record NC_000012.12, read on the forward strand.
TATTGATTTCATTTACTGAGAGGAGGAACAGTTTTGGAAAATAACATGATTCGTTTAGAATTTATTTTAAATTGGAACCTTGCGTGGTCAGTTTATTCAACCAGAAACAAAGACATTTCTTTACTGTTAGCTATTTTTGTCATGTATTTTAAAACTATGCCATAATTTAACCAACATATATCACTAAGAATAAATGCATAGGTAGAAAATAACCACAATCAGAGTCTTCTGTCATGATACCAAAATATAAAGTGGCTGGGGCCACAGTTATGTAACACTTAGAAATCATGACTAACAAAATAGAATATTGACATATGATTCAAAGACTTACAATTACAGATTAATTAAACTACACCAGATTCAGATAAATGAAAGTAATGTCTGATTCTCCATCTTCATTTATTTAAATGTATTTCAGGCCGGGCTTGGTGGCTCATGCCTGTAATCCCAGCACTCTGAGAGGCTGAAGCAGGTAGATCACCTGAGGTCAGGAGTTCAAGACCAGCTTAGCCAACATGGTGAAACCCTGCCTCTACTAAAAATACAAAATTGGCTGGGCATGGTGGTGCATACCTGTAATCCCAGCTACTTGGGAGACTGAGGCACGAGAACCGCTTGAACCCAGGAGGTGGAGGCTGCAGTGAGCCAAGATCATGCCATTGCACTCCAGCCTGGGTAACTGAGCAACACTCTGTCTGAAAAAAGTAATAATAATAAATAAATATATTTCAGAGACACAACAACAAACTATGTTAAGGAAAAGAGCACCCTAAAAGAAAAAGGAAGGTCAAAAAAAGTAAGCTGTAACAATATTTTTGTAAGTGATAATTGGGAAAAATACTTAAAAGCCTACTATTTTACCGGTAAAATGGAATAGTGATATACGATTAATTTATAAAACAAATGATGCAATATGGGCCAATCGTATATGCAAAGCAAATATTCATCATAAAAGAATATGACTAGAAGCTACTTTTCATGGCGCTATTTTCATTTTCATGTTTTCAGTAGAATTTTAAAAATCCCTTTTCAGTAATAGAAGTGATACTCTAACATAAAGCCATAAATGCACTCCCAACATTGAATTCTAGTTATCTGCTTCTGTGTTTTTCCCTCCCTGCACTGTGAGCTACAGAACATAGAGAAGACCATATCCTACTCAACCTCATATCTCAGGTGCTAAGCACTGTGCCTGACCGAAGGAGCACTCGATGGATGTTTATCTAATAAAGTAAGAAAGGAAGAACAGCACACATCCAAAAATATTAAGCTGTTTCTATCTTCCTTGACAAAACAACCTTATGGCCAGGTGCGGTGACTCACGCCTGTAATCCCAGCACTTTGGGAGGCTGAGGCATGTGGATCACTTGAGGCCAGGAGTTCAAGACCAGCCTGGCCAACATGGTGAAACCCCAACTCTACTTTAAAAAAAAAAAAAGGAGCCAGGTGTAGTGGCACATGGCTATAATCCCAGCTACTCAGGAGGCTGAGGCAGGAGAACTGCTTGAACCTGGGAGGCAGAGGTTGCAATGAGCCAAGATCGCACCACTGCACTCTACTATGGGCAACAGAGTGAGACTCTGTCTCAAAAAAAAAAAAAAAAAAAAAAAACTGGGCGCAGTGGCTCAGGCCTGTAATTCCAGCACTTTGGGAGGCTGAGGCGGGTGGATCACTTGAGCCCAGAAGTTCAAAGCCAGCCTGGGCAACAAGGTAAAACCCAATCTCTCGGCTGGGCACGGTGGCTCACGCCTGTAATCCCAGCACTTTGGGAGGCCGAGGCGGGCGGATCACGAGGTCAGGAGATCGAGACCATCCCGGCTAAAACGGTGAAACCCCGTCTCTACTAAAAATACAAAAAATTAGCCGGGCGTAGTGGCGGGCGCCTGTAGTCCCAGCTACTTGGGAGGCTGAGGCAGGAGAATGGCGTGAACCCGGGAGGCGGAGCTTGCAGTGAGCCGAGATCGTGCCACTGTACTCCAGCCTGGGAGACAGAGCGAGACTCCGTCTCAAAAAAAAAAAAAAAAAAAACCCAATCTCTACCAAAAATACAAAAAACTAGCAGGGCATGGTGGCTCACTCCTGTGGTCCCAGCTACTGGGGGTAGGTGGGAGACTGAGGTGTGAGGATCACTTGAGCCCGGAGGTGGAGGTTTCAGTGAGCTGAGATCATGCCACTGCACTCCAGCATAGGTGACAGAGCAAGAGACTCTGTCTCAAAAAACAAAAAGAAAAAAGGAGAGAGGACCGGAATTGGAAAACTAAGCCTGTGGTTTAAAGGTAAGGGACATTGCTAAATAATGTAAGACCCAGTTCTTGCAGGGCATTAAATTATTCTCTGTAAAAAGAGCTTACAGCCTTAGAGAAAAAAATTCATGAACTATAGCTCTGGAACTATGAGTCCAGGACCCAGGAAGCCTGGTCTTTAGTCCAAGCTCAGTAGTTAACCTGTGTGATTCAGACAGTTGCTCAATCTCCCCGAGCTTCAACTTGACCTAACGATGATTTCTGTCATCTCCCCTCCACTTGCGCAGTCTATTCCTGCAGTGATGGTGTCATACCAGCCCATGGAACAGTGCCCATCAAACAAGGTACTTGTCAGTATTTACGTTTTTTTCCAGTGGTTAGTCATTTAAAGAATTATTTTGCATTACTAAAGCATGGATGCATGTATACTAATCCCTGGAACAAAAATGAGCATTTACTAAGTACCAAGCAGTCTGCTTAGCACTTTGCAGGTTTAAACTTCACAACTGGAAGTGGGCCAGAGGAGTTGAGTACCTTTCCCAAAGTCACACAGCTTGTGGATTATTAATTTGGGACTCTGAACTCAGGCTTTTCTGCCTGCAAAGGCCATGTTCTGAACCACTAGGCTGCATTGGAACAGAATACAGAACTTGCATAAAACATAAGAATTCTAAGAATTTTGTGGAAATGTTTAAGAAATCCTGACAGAATGGGATCTTTTATAAATTCACATTTCTCATTCCATCCATCCTGAATAGTGAAATCACTGATTTGGCTTTTCTCAATCTGTAACATCCCAAATCCCAATAAGTATTGCCTTGTTCATCAACACAAAGTTTGCACATACTTCGTGCAAAATTTAGTTCTGTTACTAAATCGAACTCATGAGAAGTTTTAATCCAGAATCTCAAAGTTCCTAATATGTTATCAGAGAAGATTTCGTACCCTAATAGAAACAAATTATTCATTATTCATATGTGCTTGAAAGTACTAATTGTGAGTGCTTTGAAGAGAAATTATCAAAAATATGTGGACTGTTTAAGTCAGACAACCAAAGAAAAAAACATAGTTTTGTGATTTGCCAAATTTGGCCCATTCGTTTAAGGCAGCCCAGGAATAGATTTAAACACATACACACACGAGCCAGCTGAAATTAATGTATATATATGTATATATTTAATGGGCTGATTTCTGGCCCTCTTATAGGATTCCCAAGAAGATAAGAAAAATAATTGCGTTCCTTAAGATAGAAAATGTGGATAAAATGGTAATGGCTTGCATAAAGCAAAGTTTAAATTTCTCTGTGGCTATAACTACTAATGAGCTGCTAATAGTAAAGGATATCTGTGTGTGAAAGCACATTCACAGGGTAAAACATTATATGTGCATAAGTTGTCATTACTGTTTAAGAAAAAGCCAAGTTTGGTGGGTAAAAAATAAAAGATGGCTCACTGAGCTTTGAAACATGAGATAGGGCCAGAATAGCAATAGTAGCTGTCTACATAGAGCATAATAAGTTCTTGAAAGCAAGAAAATCAGTTGAAAATCTGTTGATCTCAACTTTATTTTAAGTTTAAAGAGTATAAGTGTGATTATCATTTGCATTATTACAGCTCTTCTGTTCTCTGGTCTTGGGATGATTACAGAGATTGTCCTTTTATTCTCACAGTGCACAGACTAGCTGAAATCTACAGAACTAGAAAGATTTGCAATTCATTTATAGAATTGCTAGAACTAAATAATGGCAGATTTTTCAAAGTTATGTAATAGACTACTCTGGATTATAAAATACTAAAGCTATCAGTTGGGTTCTGCCTTGATTCTATTAAATTTCCCGGTAATGACTGTACTAAAACTCATGGGGAACTGCAAGATAACTTTATTGATGGCCATAGAGGATGAAAACAATGCATAAGGTATGGAATTAATTTTAAGCCACACACTGAATAGACAGTGATGTAAAGTAAAATGATATTTTTCAAGGAAAGACAATTATGTCACATTATAATCCAGTTTACATAAATAGCATACTATTAAAAAAAGCTAAGTCTTCAGAGCATGTAATTCAGGACTGTTGTGAAACCTCTTACTCTTGTTGGTTAGTTATTTTGTGCTGTAAGGGAGGGAAAATGGCTTCCTCCCTACTTCTAGGTTCTTTGGCTGGGATACAAATTAAATTGACATAAAACAGATTAACAGGAGAAAAAAACATTTTTGGCCAGGCTCGGTGGCTCATGCCTGTGATCCCAGCACTTTGGGAAGCTGAGGTGGGAGGATCACTTGAGCCCACGAGTTCAAGACCAGCCTGGGCAACATATTGAGACCAAATCTCAATTCAAAAAAAAAGAAAAGAAAAGGAAAAAACATTTTTAATTATATGCACACACACTGGAATCCCCCAGGTAATAAAAGTTGTCTGAGAGCAGGACTCTTCCTGATACAGATACTTTGACTAATGTAGATTTCTTTTATAAATATAAATTTATTTTACAAAAGGACAGCTTTTCAGAGATACTCTTGTGTCTGCAGTTGCTCAGAATAATCAGCTCGAAATATGCCAAATAACTATATTTTGGGGTGGCATATTTTTTATTTTTGAGATGGAGTCTCGCTGTTGCCCAGGCTGAGGTGCAGTGGCGCAATCTCGGCTTGCTGCAACCTACGCCTCCTGGGTTGAAGCGATTCTCCTGCCTCAGCCTCCCAAGGACCTGGGATTACGGGAACCTGGGGGTGGTATATTCTGATCTTCTGTAGTCATGCACTGGGACCTTCTGTAGTCATGCATTTTCTCTCTCTCTTTTTTTTCTGATTCATTATTTCCTTTTCTTTTTCATCTTGGTATTTGTAGGGAAAGTGATATTCCTCTCCCCGAAATCATATTATTCCAGACAAAAGAAAACAAATGCCTACACTTATCTAATCAATCAGAAGACCATCTCCCCCACCCTTTTTTTTTTTTTAAAGATGGAGTCTTGCTCTTGTCACCCTGACTGGAGTGCAATGGGACGATTTTGGCTCACTGCAACCTCCGCCTCCTGGGTTCAAGCGATTCTCCTGCCTCAGCCCCCCGAGTAGCTGGGATTACAGGGGCCCACCACCACGCCCAGCTAATTTTTGTATTTTCAGTAGAGACGGAGTTGCACCATGTTGGCCAGGCTGGTCTCGAACTCCTGACCTCAGGTGATCCACCCGCCTCGGCCTCCCAAAGTGCTGGGATTACAGGCATGAGCCACAGCGCCAGACGAACCATCTCCCTTTTAAGCACGCTGTCCCCTTGAGTTACCTGCTGGTTTCAAGTGGAACACTAAGGGAGGAAGCAGAAAGTTCTTATCTTGCTCTGCCACATACTGGATCTAGCTGAGGCTGGGGCTCAGGCCTGTGGTTTCCTGTAGTGTGGACTGAGCCATTTTTCCATCAAGACGTCAGTGGAGAGATGAAGTGAAAGGATTTAAAAGCGGTTTGTGGCCTGCCATGGTGGCTCACCCCTATAATCCCAGCACTTTGGGAGGCCAAGGCGGGTGGATCACCTGAGGTAAGGAGTTCGAGACCAGACTGGCCAACATGGTGAAACACCATCTCTACTAAAAATACAAAATCAGCCGGGTGTGGTGGTGGGTGCATGTAGTCACAGCTACTCGGAGCCTGAAGCAGGAGAATCGCTTGAACCTGGGAGGCAGAGGTTGCAATGAGCCGAGACCATGCCACTGCACTCCAGCCTGGGCAACAAGACCAAAACTCCGTCTCAAAAAAAATAAATAAATAAAAATAAAAGCGGTTTGTAAACTGTAACACCTTGCACAGAAACACAAGATTACTACTATTAAATATTATTTAGAAAAGTAGAGTTCTTCTTACCATTTCCCTGTTTCTTTCTTCTCACTTCCTCCTTTCCCCTTCTGACCATCTTTTCAGCCGTGAACATACCACACCAGCAAGAACAATAAGAGCCAAGGGTCTGAATTGTTTAATCAAAGGAAGAGTCAAAATAAGCTACACCCAGATTACTGAGAAAGGTGAAATGAAAACAAGCTCAAAACCAAATTCCAGGAAGATGCTGTCTTTGTATTGACTTACCATTTCATGTTTTCACACATGTCAAAGTCTTGAAGCTTCGGTCATTAGTCTTCCGCTTCCTAAAGCAAGAAACTAAATGCTGACTTGTGTCGTTTGCCCCAGATGCCACCGGAAATGTCATCTTCTCCCCAGACGCTGGCTTGCAAGCACAGCAGCACCCAGAGGCTAACCTATTTCCCCTATAGCCCAAGCTCTGAGATCTCCCGTCTGGTCACAATGATCTACAGGAGAGGAAGAAAGCTATCTAGGGACGAGATCTAGAATCAACTGAGAGAGATGCTTAAAAATCACCAGTTACTTTAATGAGTAAGTACTTTTCAGTTTTTCCATTTTATCTGAAACTTTAAGTTGGCATTTCTGACCAGCCTTTCTTGAGACCATCATTTTTTGGGCACTTACTGTAGACAGGAATCAGCACCCTAGCCTCCTTCAGCCCACCCCATGTAACACTAAAGAGACAACTGGTGCTTGGCAATAACAAAAATATTAGTGATTGATAAACTTGTAAATTTATTAAAATGGACAGTGAAAGAAAACAGCCAATTTAGTTGTGAACTGGAGAAGGGACGTGAGGCATCTGTTGTCTGCAATCTTGTATGTTGTGGTTGACCACAAAGGCTTGGCATCAGGTTTTACTTCCAGCACTACTTCTTATAAAATGGATGACCTTGGGCAGATTACTCAATCTTTTAGCCTTAATTTTTAAAAGTATAAAATGGAGAAAATTAGAATATGTAGTCCAGGTGCGGTGGCCCACACCCGTAATCCAAGCACTTTGGAAGGCTGAGGCAGGTGGATTATTTGAGTCTAAGTTCAAGACCAGCCTGGACAACATGATGAAACCCTGTCTCTAAAAAAAACTATAAAAATTAGCCAGGCATGGTGGCACAGGCCTGTAGTCCCAGCTACTAGGGAGGCTGAAGTGGGAGGATTGATTGAGCCTGCAGAGTTGCTGCAGTGAGCCATGATTTCGCCACTGAATTCCAACTTGGGCAACAGAGTGAGACAAGAAAGAAACAGAGAGAGAGAGAGAGACAGAGAAAGAAGAAAAAAAAAGAAAGAAAGAAAGAAAGAAAAAGAAAGAAAGAGAAAGAAAGAAAGAAAGAAAGAAAGAAAGAAAGAAAGAAAGAAAGAAGAAAGAGAAAGAGAGAAAAGAAAAGGAAAGAAAGAAAGAAAATAATTTCTTAGGTTGTTTTTGTTTTTGTTTTTTTGTGATGGAGTCTCACTCTGCTGCTCAGGCTGGAGTGCAGTGGTGCTATCTCTGCTCACCGCAACCTCCGCCTCCCAAGTTCAAGCAATTCTTGTGCCTCAGCCTCCCAAGTAGCTGGGATTACAGGCACGCGACACCACTCCCAGCTAATTTTTATATTTTTACTAGAGACAGGGTTTCACCATGTTGGCCAGGCTGATCTTGAACTCCAGACCTCAGGTGATCCGACCGTCTTGGCCTCCCAAAGTGTTGGGATTACAGGCATGAGCTACCGCGCCCTTCTTAGAGTTCTTAAGAAGAATAAAGAGATAAACTGGTAAAACATGTAAATACTTTTTGGAGGGTATGCTAAATAATGCCACTAAATAATTAATGTTGCTAAATAATAAGTTAAATGCTTCATTTAACTGGAAATCTCCCTTAACCACTAAGCCCACTTTCCAGATATGCTAAGGTGGCTCAGAATAACAATAGCAGCGAACATCTGTAGAGTTTACACAGCATTTCATTTGATTTCCACAATTAACTCTAAGGTAGGCAGTGCAGAGCTGTTGACTTATTTTTGGAGCTGGAGGAGAAGAGAGAAGCGAGAGCTCGGCTGGACACGGCAGCAGGGAGAAAAACCCCTAGGTCCGTTGTTGGCACTGAAGTGGGGAAAACCATGGCCTGGGGAAAGGCCTAATGTGAGAAGTTAGTCGGTGTGCATAGGCAGTATGACATTCATTTCACCAGCACAAGATTCTTGTTCCTCAGCTTCCTTAGTCCCTGGACCTTGCTTGTCCTTTCTTCCGCTCCAAGCCGTAGAGCTTGAAACTGGCAAGTCCTCAGTTGCACTGCCAACAGGCAAAGCAGTGGGAACTCAAGTTTCCAGAATCCTCTACAACATAGTGTGAGTAAAAGCCAAGGCAGAGACAGTGTCTTGCTCTGTCATCCAGGCTGGAGCGCAGTGGTGCCATCACGACTCACTGCAGCCACAAACTCCTGGGTGCAAGGTATCCTTCCACCTCAGCCTCCTCCTGAGTAGCTGGGACTACAGACATGCGCCACCACATCCTGATCATTTTTAATTTTTTTTCTTTTTTTTTTTTTTTTTTAGAGACAGAGGTGTAGCTTTATTGCCCAGGGTGGGCTTGAACTCCTGGTCTCAAGCAATCGTCCCTCCTTGGCCTCCCAAAGTGTTGGGATTTCAGGTGTGAGCCACTCTACCTGGCTGAGACTTGCTCTCATTTTTAAATTCAAAAAATGTTTTCCATAGATCGGCCGCCTGTGGAAAAAGGTGACTCAGGCCTGTAATCCCAGCACTTTGGGAGGCCTAGGTGGGTGGATCACCTGAGGTCAGGAGTTCGAGACCAGCCTGGCCAACACGGTGAAACTCCGCCTCTACTAAAAATAGAACAATTATCTGGGCATGGTGGCAAATGCCTGTGATCCCAGCTATTCCGGAGACTGAGGCAGGAGAATCACTTTAGCCCATGAGACAGGGGATGTAGCGAGCCAAGATTGCACCACTGCACTCCAGCCTGGGCAACAGAGTGAGACTCTATCTCAAAAAACAAAAATAAAAAAGTTTCTTTTTCCATAGAAACACTATTACACATAGAATTTAAATACTACAAAAATGGTAACAATAATGATAGCAACAATAATAAAATAATGTCCATTTTTAAAACTCTTTTGGGTAATCCCTTCAGAGGAGCATAGGTGCTATTTCCCCCATTTAAGAAGTAAAAAACTAAGTAGCACAAAGATAAAGTAAGCATTAGAGGTGGAAGAAATCCAGGCCTGCTGACTCAACCCTAGATTCCTGTTACTGAGTAAATGGACTTTTGTAGCTAGTCCTGGAGCAGAATTGTCACAATCCAACCTGTTCATCAGTTGAAAGCACTCGTCATTATTAGCTCTCCAATCGCCCTTGTTTTTCATCCATGGGAACTTTTAATTCAGCCACTGGTTGGAATCTAGAGTAGTCAGCATAAGCCTAAACATTTGAAACACAAATATAGCTTTAGTGCAGCACTGGGTTTTCCATCGGCTTTTAAGAAGACTAGCTAACAGAGTGATGAAAATCGAACTAAGTTATTTCACACCTGCTTTGTTTTCTCATGGAAAAATTTAAAGCTGTGCACAAAATATTGTTTTGTTTTTCAACAGAGAATAACAAGGAAAGCTACATGCAAATATTTCTTTCTAGATAATATGATTTTTTTTCTTCTTAATTTAAACAAGTATTTATAGCTGAGATTAAAAGCTCAGGCTTTGGAGCCATACTTCTTCCTAAAGAAACAAAAGGAAACCTTAAGCTTATCTAATTATTCAGAAGATTCACTGTCAATAATGGGTGTGGTGGCATGAGCCTAAAGTCCCAACTACCTAGGAGGCTGAGGAGGGAGGATTGATTGAGCCTGGGAGGTTGAAGCTGCAGTGAGCCGTGATCATGCCCCTGTACTCCCAGGTGACCAAGGGAGACACTGCCTCAAAAAAAAAAAAAAAAAAAAAAGAAGAAGAAGAAGAAGATACATTGTCAAAAGAATAGTTCTGCCATTTACTAGCTGGGCAACCTTAGGCAATTTATTTATTTATTTTTAATTTATTTTTTGAGACAGAGTCTCATTCTATTGTCCAAGCTGGAGTGCAGTGGCGCGATCTTGGCTCACTGCAACCTCTGCCTCCCGGGTTCAAGCAATTCTCTTGCCTCGGCCTCCTGAATAGCTGGGATTACAGGTGTGTGCCATGACACCAGGCTAATTTTTGTATTTTTAGTAGAGACTGGGTTTCACCATGTTGATCAGGCTGGTCTCAAACTCCTGACCTCAGGTGATCCACCCACCTCGGCCTCCCAAAGTGCTGGGATTACAGGCGTGAGCCACTATGCCCAGCCAACCTTAGGCAATTTATATAACCTCTCCATGCCTCAGTTTACTTATCTATAAAATGGAGATAATAATACTTCCTCCTTCACCGGGTTGTGAGAATGGAATAGGCCTGGCACAAAGTGAGTGCTCAGTGAGTGCCGATGATTACTAGGCACAGGCACTGGGCCCTGAGGGGTACAAGGATGGGTGAGACCCACTTCTGCCATCCAGAACTAGCATAGAGTGGGATAGAATGGCACATGGGCAGTTAATTATAGAACAAAACAGAACCAAAGGTTAAGTAGAGGCATCCCTCAGAGGAAGGAGAGATTTTTCTATCTAGGAGAGTAGGGAAGGCTCTCTGACAAAATTGTCTTTTAACGTGAGTCTTAATGAAGGAGCAGAATTTCAGTAACAGGAAAGGGTTGGGGAACATTCAAAGGTGAGTCACAGAGACAAACATAAAGACATGAGAAAAGGCCCTCTGGGCTTATACAAACCCTATGGTTCCCTGCGGGCTTTCAGAAGATCCCAAGAAGAAAGGATCATATCCCAAGACATAAAAAGTTTACAGAATGCAAAATGTTGGAATTATTCTAACATATTAAATGAATTTGAAACTTTAAAACCTAGATGATGAAGTTTTATGTAAGAAAACATATAAAATTAAAACTATACCAATTAAAAAATAATGTTTTAATCAAAGACACACTTTTTAAGGACTAAGAAAAATTGGGGGAAAGTAAAATATTTAACCATAAAACTGAAAACAAATGTGACATTGATCACTGTGCTCAGCTTCCCAAAATATATATTGCAACATTCCCCTCCTCCCTAAGCTATATCTTCAAAATATATATATTGTTTCCAATATTTGTTAGACATCAAAATTCTTTTTTTTTTTTTTTTTTTTTTTAAGAAAGGGATATCACCATGTTGTCCAGGTTGGTCTTGAATTCCTGGGCCAAGTGATCCTCCTGCCTAAGCTTCCCAGAGTGCTGGGATTACAGGTGGTGAGCCACCACGCCCCGCCAACATGAAAATTTTTAAATGATTGCCAGGATACAGATCAACCTAAGGATTTCTTCACAATTAAAACAAAACCAGTCATCAAAAATAAAAATGACTTTATCCACACATTTCAGAAGCAAAGTATATTTCCACCCAATTATGTATTCCCAGCCAGTGCTTCAAGAAAAATTATACAGCAGCTCTCTGAAATTGCCTGGTGAGAATGTGCTGCCATCATTCCCATTGTTGGTCAATGCAATATTTACATTTAGGGAGACTGTTCAAAGGTCACAAGACAATTATTTGAGAAATTCAGCCACAGTTTGATGGGAAGATAAATGAGTGTCTAGAGAAGTGGGAAGTGGCTGGGCATGGTGGCTTATGGCTGTAATCCCAGCACTTTGGGAGGCCAAGGCAGGAGGTTTACTTGAAACCAGGAGTTCAAGACCAGACTGGGCCACAAAGCAAGAGCCTGTCTCCACAAAAAATTTTAAAAAATTAGCTGGGCATGGGATGCACACTTGTGGTCCCAACTACTTGGCAGGCTGAGGCAGAAGGATCTCTTAAACCTGGGAGATAAAGGCTGCAGTGAGCCATGATCGCACCATGGCACTCCAGCCTGGGTGACAGAGTGAGACTCTATCTCTTAAAAAAAAAATTAAAAAAAAAAAAAAAAAAAACGCCCGGGCGTGGTGGCTCACGCCTGTAATCCCAGCACTTTGGGAGGCCGAGGAGGGTGGATCACCTGAGGTCAGGAGTTCGAGACCAGCCTGACCAACATGGAGAATCCCCGTCTCTACTAAAAATACAAAAAAATTAGCCGGGCGTGGTAGCACGTGCCTGTAATTCCAGCTACTTGGGAGGCTGAGGCAGGAGAATCGCTTGAACCTGGGAGGCAGATGTTGCGGTGAGCTGAGATCACGCCATTGCACTCCAGCCTGGGCAACAAGAGCAAAACTCCATCTCAAAAAAAAAAAAAAAAAAAAAAGAGAGAGAATTGGGAAGTGATAGGGGCCTGCATAGACTGCTTTTCCTACCTCCTACCCCTCCAACCCCAGATAACTTTATTCTCTCTACCTGAATATGTCTGAAACTCAGGAGACAGGTCTGGGCTAGAGACAAAGATAATAGCTACATTCACTGAGCACTTAGAAATGTGGCGGTGTCATGCTAATAACTTTACATGTGTTCATTTAACCCTCACTTGTTAGGAAAACTGCAGTAATATTGTTCCCATTTTATTGATGAGGTTTCTTCAGGGCAGAGGGGTTGCTTAATAGGCCCAGGGACTCAAGGGCTAGTAAGCAGTGGAGCAGGATCAAACCCAGGGGGCCAACCCCAGAGCCCCTCCCTCTCAGCCAGTGTGCTTTATTGCCCCAATTCTCAGTCATCTGCATACAAATGGGAATTGATAAGGGGATGGTCCGTTGTAACCATCCAAACCAGGACTCTTAAGGGTTTGGGGTGCTACTAATCATTCTGGGGAAACAGGCAGAAACCAGAACTGTTTGGGGCAAATAGGGACATAGGGTTACCTCATTTCCTGACACTCTGAAAATGGGTGGACACACGAGGATAAGAATGTTGAAGAAGAGAAGAAAAGAGCCCTTCAGTGGGCCTTGAGAAAGACCTGGAAGGGAGGGAGAAATAAGAAAAAGAGAGAGAGAGAGAGAAAGACCAACATTTGGGGAACTGCCAGAGAAAGAGAAACCCTCAAAAGATACTAGGGAAAGACAGGATACAAGGGTGTCACAAATACGTGGACTTGAGGGCTGGGTTTCTCAGAGGGAGCAGTCAGTAGTGCCCCTACCCCTCATACTGTAAGAACCAAAAAGTGGCCACTGAAAGGAGCAACAGGGAAATCATCGGTGATTTACTAACAAACATTCCTTGGCTTTGATCCAGTCAGAGCCAAATTAAAGTAAACGGAGGAGTGAGTGGGAGGTGGGGCCCAGACCCAGACCCAGTCAGTGCAAGCAAGTTTTTTTTTTTAAATGTGGCCTTGGAGTGGAGGCAAAAGATAGGACTGTCCTGGAGGTGGAGTCAAAGATGTTTCCTTTCTTTTTCAAAGCAAGAAACTAGAATGTGTTTAATGCTAAAAAGAAGGATCCAGGCCAAGGAGGGTAAAGAAAATGCAGAATGCAAATTATCCCCTCACTGGGGGATATCCGGGAGCGAAGTCCCTGAGCTGCTGAGGAAGCTTTACGCCTAAGGAGGTACCTCTCTGCCTTTGCAGGAGGGTGGGAAGCGGGGTGAGGATTTGAAGGTTTGAGGAGGGAGTCCAAACAGGGTTCTGTCTGCAGGCCTGTGTTTTCTCTGGAATCATTGTGGGAGGGCTTGCTGAGCCAAAGGATTAGAGGGGCCTACTGTCTGGCAGGCCTTGTATTATTAGGCCCCTGATGTACGAGATCTCTTTTCATTTTCACTATTATTTGACGAGGTAGGTAATATTATTCCCTTTTTACAGAAGAGGAAACTGGTTCAGAACTGTGGGCAGCCAGCCCAAGAGCACGCAGCTGTCCAGGGGCAGAGTCCACGTCTGGCTTCTTTGTCTGGAGTTGAAAGCCAGATCACCACCTTCTGGTATCTTTCATTTGTGTTAAAGGGGTAATAGGTAGGAAGTTAGCAAATATACTTTGAATAATGATGCAAGACCATCATGTAGAGGTTTACTATAGACTGTACATGATTGAAATCATACTTTTGTGTTTATGAAATGCTTTGATTATTTATTTTAGGGAATATTTACAAAAGGCTGTAAAACAAAAGTTTAAAAAAGTGAGGTCACTGGAATTAATGGTCCATAGTTTTATCTTTGGTTTTTACAGAAGTTACCTGCATTTCAGTTACTAAGAACCACCACTTCATTCATAAAAATGCTCTCTGCATTTCTTTCTGTAATTCATAGGCGTTGTTTATATTAGACTATTATTATGGGAAAATACACTGCTTTAAGAATTTTTAAACTTGGTAATTTTCAGACTCAAAGTGTTTGAGATTCTTCTGCTGATAGTTTATTTAAAAAGAATTACAAATTTCAGATTGTGGCCTGGTAGGGATGATACAAATACAAACTGAATATACCCACAGTGATTCCTTCCTCCACAAAGTAAACCTGTGATTACACGGAGCCCAGTTTGAAGATCTTTATTCTAGTTTCCGTTTTTCGCTTATCTCGCATGATTTTAGATGTGTTTAAAGACTACCTGGATAACCAACTTAGAAATACAGGCTATATGGCGTGGTTTCATGATGCGGGGATTCACAGGGGAATCATGGTTGTTGTTGAGGGATGTGAGCCAAATGTGCAGTAACAGCTGTCATAGCCGTAGATAGACGCAGGGCTCTCTAAATTTTTACTGAATTAATTAATGGACTGCAGATCCGAGACCTACGTAGGAAGTGAGGTCAATGTAGGTAGGTGATTCGAATCAGTTAACAGTCTTTCCAGTGGTTATTTGGCAATTCTTTTTCTTTTTCGTTTTCTTTTTTTGACACAGAGTCTCACGCTGTCGCCCAGGCTGGAGTGCAGTGACACAATCTTGGCTCACTGCAACCTCCACCTCCCAGGTTCAAATGATTCTCCTGCCTCAGCCTCCCAAGTAGCTCGGATTACAGGCACGTGCCACCATGCCCAGCTGATTTTTGTATTTTTGGTACAGACGGGGTTTTGCCATGTTGGCCACGTTGGTCTCGAACTCCTGATCTCAAGTGATCCACCCGTCTCGGCCTCCCAAAGTGCTGGGATTACAGAATTAAGCCACTGCACCCAGCCTGGCAATTATTTTTCTATTGCATTATTTACCACAGCATAGCATCTCTCAGTACTTTTCTGTATTTTTTTATTTGATCCTAAAGCCACTTTTAAAAATAGGCCTGCATTGCTTCTTCCACTTTGGTGTTGTATAGGTCACTGGATGTTAACTGACTTGCCTCAAATCAAAATATGAGTCTCTAGAGAATCCCCAGTCCACAAGTCACTAAGTTTTCCCAAAGAAAAGTTCGAATTGTTTGCTTTTCTTTTTTCTTTCAAAACTGTATATGGCATGTAATATAATTTTTGGCAAGTTTAAATTCACTTAGAAAACTAAGCAAATGCTGACATAGATAAATTATACAGGTGAGCTCATTAAAAATAATTCTTTATCTGTACCATCCATTCCACTAAAATTTAAGAGAATCTTGGAAAGTTCAAACTATTGGTTAGATCCCCCAAAATGCGGTTATAAGGAAATGAACCATTTATATTCCCAGTACAATATTGTATTAAGATAGTCATATGCAAGAAACTTATAAATTAGTTACAAGTACTTCCCACAATGAATCAAAACATCCTAATTTTTAGTGACTATCTCTGTGGTTTAAAACTTCTCTACAGTATCTCTAAAGCAACTGGCTTATTTCAGTGTACCTCTTCTTGTAACTAAAGATCAAAAAGAAAAGAAAAATCAACATAATTATTACAAAACATTAATGAAAGATAAATGTTATGTGTTTGGGTTGTGATCATTGTAAAGCAATAGTCAATGAGTTGTAATTCATAGCTTATGAAGCTATTAAAAAATTAATTATCCCCAAACAGGGAAATATAAACAAGATGCTGGAAAGTAATTTATTGTGGCAGTAGACATTATTAATACATATATCTGTGACAGCTTTAGCCTAAGCCCAAAATTTACTTTGAAAACAGAAAAAAACATGGAACTACTTATAACTATGATTTTTAAAATTACCATGAAACTTTAAAAAAATTCTGTTTTAATTCGAAGTTGGAATCAGGTTGCAATGATTGTTCATAAACCTCCCTCCTCTGGCTTGATTCTTCCAACAGTCTCAGGTACTTAATTTACATACATCCGTTTTAGCAGCCAGCTCTTTAAGTGCCCATTTTCTTACCCCTCCTCTTGAGAGAAGAGATTGCCTCTCTTTTTGAGATGGAGTGAGTCTCGCTCTGTCGCCCAGCCTGGAGTGCATTGGTGGGATCTCGGCTCACTGCAACCTCCGCCTCCTGGGTTCAGGCAATTCTCCTGCCTCAGCCTCCTGAGTAGCTCGGATTACAGGCGCATGCCACCACACCCGGCTAATTTTTTATATTTTTGGTAGACACGGGGTTTCAACATGTTGGCCAGGCTGGTCTTGAACTCCTGATCTCAAGTTATCCGCCCGCCTTGGCCTCCTAAGGTGCTGAGATTACAGGCGTGAGCCACTGCACCTGGCCAAAATTGCCTTTTCATACCTAGTCCTTGCACCCAGTGCACTATTTGGCTCTCCATGATCTTTATTAAGTGAATGAGTGAATCGATAAAATAGCTACCAAAATGAATAAGTGTACTTATCAAATCTGCAGCAAAGAAAGATGCCTAGGCTAAAATGATCGCTGATCTGGCCATTTTCGAATCCTTTTTTTGTTTTATTTTTTATAAATAAAAAGAGCTCTGAAAATGGATGCTATCGACATTTTTTTTAAATTAGAGAAGGTTTATGTCTCCAAATTATTCTTTTCTATTCACTCCCCTAAAAGAGTCATTTTGGTTTTGTTAAGTTTTATTTTTAATGCTTGGTCTCTTAGCTTAGGATTCTTTCCCAAAATGATAGTCTTGAGGGTGTCAGATTTCATTAATCCTGTTACAGTTACAGTGCTCCTCTTTATCAAGAACTTCATTTCCATTTCAGGTTTTTCTGTTTGTTTGTTTGTTTGTTTTGTTTTGTTTTTGTTTTTGTTTTTGAGGCAGAGTCTCGCTCTGTCACCCAGTCTGGAGTGCAGCAGCAAGATGGCAAGATCTCGGCTCACTGCAATCTCCACCTCCCGGGTTCAAGCGATTCTCCCGCCTCAGCCTCATGAGTGGCTGGGATTACAGGCACCTGCCATGATGCCCACATAATTTTTGTAGTCTTGTAGAGAGGGGGGCTTTCAGCATGTTGGCCAGATTGGTCTTGAACTCCTGACCCCAGGTGATCCACCCACCTCGGCCTTCCAAAGTGCTGGGCTTACAGGCGAGAGCCACCGTGCCCGGCCCCATTTCGGGTTCTAACTGGAATGCTTCTTCCCAGTCATTTTCCCCTCTCTTTCCTTCTCACAGTCATAGCTGCATGTTCCATTAGAGAAGAATAATAAGGCCAGGCACAGTGGTTCACGCCTGTAATCCCAGCACTTTGGGAGGGCGAGGTGAGTGGATCACTTGAGACCAGGAGTTCGAGACCAGCCTGGCCAACATGGTGAAACCCCGTCTCTACTAAAAATACAAAAATTAGCTGGGCATGGTGGCAAGTGCCTGTAATTGCAGGTATCTGGAGACCAAGGCACGACAATTGCTTGAACCCTGGAGGCAAAAGTTTCAGTGAGCTGAGATCTCGCCACTGCACTCCAGCCTGGGTGACAGAGCAAGACTCTGACTCAAAAAAAAAAGAAGACATTCTTAGGTAAACATTTTTGTCAGATATTGGCCCTGAGCTCTTGGAGCAACATTTGGGTGGGTTAAGTGAACTGGTTAGGATATAGGACCTCCAGAAGTCCTCAGACACTGTGAGGTTGTCAGTCTGCAGAACTGTGTTTTGGCTCTTCTTCTTTGTTTTTTCTTTTCCTTTTTTTTTTTTTGAGACAAAGTCACACTCTGTTGCCCAGGCTGGAGTTCAGTGATGCGATCTCAGCTCGCTGCAACCTCCTCCTTTCTGGACTCAAGCAATTCTCGTGCCTCAGCCTCCTAAGTAGCTGGGATTACAGGCGTGTGCCACTACACCCAGCTAATTTTTAGTATTTCTTGTAGAGACAGGGTTTCACCAAGTTGCCCAGGCTGGTCCTGACCTCAGGTGATCTGCCCTTCTTGGCCTCCCAAAGTGTAGAGATTACAGGCATGATCCACCGTGCCCTGCCTGGGTTCTTCTGAATTCAAGGTCTTTATGTGTTTTTATGTCTCTTGCTTGAGATTAGGATATGGGATTATACTCATTCACCACCCATCCCCTCCCTTCATGACCATCTCTCCTGGGCAGAGGAGAGGGTTGCCTGACTATGAATAAGCAAAAGATAAGAGAAGATCCTTCTTCTATTAGAGATAGACTTTGGACTAAATCTTAGCTCTATCACATCAATATCTTTCCTTATAAAATGGGAATAAGAGTTACCTCATAAAGGGCCAGGTGCAGTGGCTCACACTTGTAATCCCAGCATTTTGGGAGGCCAAGGCGGGCAGATCATCTGAGGTCAGGAGTTCAAGACCAGCCTGGCCAAAATGGTGAAACCCCGTCTCTACTAAAAAAACTACAAAAATTAGCCGGGCATGGTGATGCACACCTGTAATCCCAGCTACTCAGGAGGCTGAGGCAGGAGAATCGCTTGAACCTGGGAGGCGGAGGTTGCAGTGAGCTGAGATTGCACCACTGCACTCCAGCCTGGGCAACCAGAGTGAAACTCCGTCTCAAAAAAAAAAAGTTACCTCATGAAGAGGTAATGTTGGTAAAGCACCTGGGATCTAGTAGCTGTTCAATAAACATTAATTTTGTTTTAGCCAAAATATTTCACTTGCATCATCTAATTTGATCTTCATAGAACCCTGACAAACAAGCAGAACAAATATTGTAATCTCTTCTTTATTGATGATTAACCTGGTATTTTGAAACTTCTTAAGTATGGGTTGAACATCCTTTATCCAAAATGCTTGGAATAAAAAGTGTTTCAGGCCGGGCACGGTGGCTTACACCTGTCATCCCAGCACTGTGGGAGGCTGAGGAGGGTGGATCACCTGAGGTCAGGAGTTCGAGACCAGCTGGCCAACATGGTGAAACCCCATCTCTACTAAAAATATAAAAACTTAGCTGGGCGTGGTGGTGCACGTCTGTAGTCCTAGCTACTCGGGAGGCCAAGACAGGAGAATCGCTTGAACCCAAGAGGCAGAGTTTGCAGTGAACTGAGATTGCACCACTGTACTTCAGCCTGGGCACCAAGAGCAAAACTGCTTCTCAAAAAAAAAAAAAAGATAAGAAAATAAAAAACACTCAAAAGTGTTTCGGATTTCAGATTTTTGGGTGATTTCAGAATATTTGCATGTACGTGGGGATGCCCATACGTAGGCTGGGATTGGGCCCAAGTGGAAACACAAAATTCATTTATGTTTCATATACAGCATATACACATAGCCTGAAGGTAATTTTATACAATACTTTAAATTTTGTGCATGAAACAAAGTTTGTGTGCATTGAACCATCAGAAAGCAAAGGTGTCACAATCTTAACCACTCATGTGGACTGTGGTTGTATGACATCACCATCATTTCTGACTCAGCTTATATGTTTAGAGGCAACCAACAAGTAATCATTTCTTTTCTTTTTTTTTTTGAGATGGAGTCTCTCTCTGTCACCCAGGCTGGAGTGCAGTGGCGCGATCTTGGCTCATTGCAAGCTCTGCCTCCCGGGTTCCTGCCATTCTCCTGCCTCAGCCTCCCGAGTAGCTGGGACTACAGGCACCCGCCACCACACCCGGCTAATATTTTTTTTTGTACTTTTAGTAGAGACGGGGTTTCACCGTGTTAGCCAGGATGGTCTCAATCTCCTGACCTCGTGATCTGCCCGCCTCAGCCTCCTAAAGTGCTGGGATTACAGGCGTGAGCCACTGCACTCAGCAAGTAATCATTTTCTTTTTTTTTTTTTTTTTGAGACGGAGTCTCACTCTGTCCCCAGGCTGGAGTGCAGTGGCAGGATCTCGGCTCACTACAAGTTCCGCCTCCCAGGTTCACACCTTTCTCCTGCCTCAGCCTCCCGAGTAGCTGGGACTACAGGCCCCAGCCACCACGCCCTGCTAATTTTTTGTACTTTTAGTAGAGACGGGGTTTCACAATGTTTGCCAGGATGGTCTCCATCTCGTGACCTCGTGATCCTCCTGCCTTGGCCTCCCAAAGTGCTGGGATCACAGGCATAAGCCACCACGCCTGGCCAAAGTAATCATTTTCTTACACTTATTCACACGTAAGTACTTCATAGTAGAAAATATGACACACTTTTCCCTTTTTTTTGACACACAGCCTCACTCTGTTGCCCAGGCTGGAGTGCAGTGGTGCGATCTCAGCTCACTGCAACCTCCGCCTCCCAGGTTCAGGGGATCTCCCGCCTCAGCCTCCGAGTAGCTGGGATTACAGGCATGTGCCACCATGCCTGGCTAATTTTTGTATTTTTCGTAGAGACAGGATTTCACCATTTTGGCCAGGCTGGTCTTGAACTCCTGATCTCAAGTGATCCACCTGCCTCGGCCTCTCAAAGTGCTGTGATTACAGGCGTGAGCCTCCTCGCCTGGCCAACATACCATTAATATAGTGAAAAAGTAATGTGTTCAGTGTAACTTGGAGCATCATGTTGGCTCTCAAAAAGTTTTGGGTTTGGAAGAATTTTGGAATTTTGAATTAGGGATGCTCAACTTTTAATAATAATAACTAATTTAGCAGCACTTCCTACTTGTTAGGCATTATTACAAACAGTTTACGTTTAATCCTCACATCAGATATATGAAGTGTACTAATAGGTGCATTTTACAGATCTGGAAAATTAAGTCATAGAAAGACTAAATAACTTGCCCAAGTTCAAAATGCTAGCAAACAGAAGAGTTAGGATTCAAACCCAGGTAGTATGATTCCAAACGCAATGCTCTTTGCTAATACTCTGTAGAGGGGCCGATGGATATCCTCTGCCCATCTTAGTTCTTAAGTGGGATCTTCGGGTGGGCTTGGAACCAAATTAATGCAAGACAGATTAACAGAAGAGAAGCGCGTATGTTTTATTATTTTTTTACATGTACATGGGGACCCTCATAAGAGAGTGAAGACCCCAAGAAATGGCCAAAGCAGAAAGCTTTTATACCTTTTAGACAAAGAACTACACATTTTGTGAAGAAATGACAGGACAAAGGGGTATAAGCTGGGGGTAGTAAATTCCAGGGGAGTCGCTAGGAGATAATTGGAGAGGGTGCTAAAGCTAGTGGAGGATAAGGGTTTTTTCAGTAAGTTTATTTATACAGCTCCATTGCAGCATCACTTCTTAAGTCACTGGAAACAAGGGTTATCTTCTCGTGTTGGTGCAGAGAAGGCCGCTTTTTCACAGGAATTTTTATGGCTTGATAAGAAAGGGCAGATCTGGAGGCCCTTTCTGCCACCGCTGCTTCACAAGCATCTTCGCTCAAAAATATCTGTATCAGAGAGGCATATTTTGGACTTGAACTTATATCTTTCCAAGTCTAGGGCACTTCACTCCCAGAGAAAGAATGCATTAGAGCATTCCAGAAGTAACACTGTAGCAGAGACAGCACTAAATTATTAGATCTGCCAGCTTCCGGGACAGAACTGTATTAACAGGGGAAGGTGTATTAGGGCACAGATTACGGCCAGAGTGCTGGCCCAGGGAAGGCACATCGAGCTGGGGCAGCATGGGAGCCCTGAAAACACAATAGGAAAGGGTTTCCGTCTTCACATTTTGCACTTTGGAGACTTGAGTCTAGAGTGGGAAGGAATACTATTCCCAAAGACCCCTAGACTTTCACAGTTTATGGCCCTTACCACTTTCTACATGATAGTACAATTATCAACTAGTATTTCTGATCTGCTTTTAGAGCGCAAGACCATATTTTACTTATTTTTATACTCCCTATGTGGAGCATATAGTAGGCACTTATTAAGTGTGAGTTGGAGAAATAAATGAATCTAAACAAATGAACATGCTTGAGTCCCAAAGGGATTTGGAGTTTGCTTCAGTTTTGTTTTGTTTTTCTTTGTTTCAAACTCCTGGTCTCAAGCAGTCCTCCTGCCTCAGTCTTCCAAAGTGCTGGGATTACAAACATAAGCCACTGCACCCAGCCAAAACTTTTATTCTGATAGCAAAAATATTTTAATGAAAATTCTTTGTGGGGAAGATGTCAATATTTTCAACTGTTCTCTTATGAAACTTAATATTCTATCTGTTTTAATATTTTCATTTTTGTATTTATACCCATTTAAAACTACAAATAGGATATATAGCTTTTAAAACTTGAATGTGTAATTTAATAATAGCTATCCACCCATACCTATTAAAATGTTCCTACATCTATTAAAATGTTTACTAATGCGTAAAATCTTACAAATTTCAAGCCGCACCGGATTTTCAAGGCTTTTGTGTAAGTAGATGAAGTGGATGCCATGTTCCTCCCATTTGCAATCTGTTAGCAGTATTTTAGTGTTTCTACTATTTAGTCATCTGTGGATATGAGTTGTAAATGGCAACTTGAAATAATCTGAAGTTTTGAAGATGAGTTTCACAGTTTTTAACATTGCATCCAATGTGTTGGAGAGAAAAAACTTTTTCTCTACTCTTTTAGCATCAGTACTTGGGGGCGTATAGATTAAACTAACAAAAGACAGATTAACAGGAGAAAAAGCACATACTTTTATTTATTTATGTTGTGTGTGTGTTGCCAAGATACAGACCTAGAAATTTTATTTATTTATTTATTTATTTATTTATTTATTTATTTAATTTATTTAGAGATGGGGTCTCACTTTGTGGCCCAGGCGGGAGTGAAGTAGCTGGAACACTGCTTACTGCAGCCTCAACATCCTGAGCCCAAGCCATCCTCCCGCCTCAGTCGTGCGCCACCATGCCCAGTTAATTTTTGTATAAAGATGGGGTTTTGCCATGTTGCCCAGGCTGGTCTCGAACTCCTGAGCTCAAGTGATCCCTTCCACCTTGGCCTTCCAAAGTGCTGGGTTTGCAGGCGTGAGCTGCCGCGCCCACCACAATTTTTGGCACGATCTTGGCTCACTGCAAGCTCCGCCTCCTGGGCTCACGCCATTCTCCTGCCTCAGTCTGTTCAGGTGTCCGCCACCACGCCCGGCTAATTTTTTGTATTTTTAGTAGAGACGGGGTTTCACCGTGGTAGCCAGAAAGGTCTCGATCTGACCTCGTGATCCACCCGCCTTGGCCTCCCAAAGTGCTGGGATTACAGGCGTGAGCCGCCACAATTTTTAAATTAATATTTGCAGGCAGGGAGTGCACCGGAAAACAGTGAAACTCAAGGGGCTTTGGGCTTTAAGGGATGATGAATTGTGGGGAAGTGACTGGGAAATAAATGGGGGGAGCTCATGGAAGATAAGGGCTATTGTAGTAAGGTCTATTTATGAAAAATCATCTTGGTGTCCATTCCCTGTCTTCGGTGAAAAGGATGATAACCTGTCTGATTGATAAGAGTTGCTCCTCTTTCCCTGGTTGGGGGAAGGGTGTTTACCTTCCTGAAGGAAATATATGCCCTGATTCTAGGGCAGATAAGAGGAGGGCAGATAACTCTTCCTGCATCTGTCGATTTTCAGTTGCTTTCTGCTCAAAATAATCCTCATGTTAAAGTGCACATTTTGGGGTGGCATATTCCGGTTCTCTTCAAATGTAAAGCAAAGAATATTACAGCTGAAATGTATTCAAATTATTTCCAGTTTTATCTTGATTTTTTTCAGTCCTATTGATGAGAAACAGCTACTTCCTTGTAAAAGAAATCTGTTTTTAGGGGTTTTTTTTGTTTTGTTTTTTGTTTTTGTTTGTTTTCTGAGACGGAGTTTCTCTCTTGCCCAGGCTAAAGTGCAATGGCGCGATCTCAGCTCACTGGCAACCTTTGCCTCCTGGGTCCAAGCAATTCTCCTGCCTCAGCCTCCCAAGTAGCTGGGATTACAGGCATGCGCCACCACGCCCGGCTAATTTTGAATTTTTAGTAGAGACGGGGTTTCTCCGTGTTGGTCAGGCTGGTCTCGGACTCCCGACCTCGGGTGATCCACCCTCCTCGGCCTCCCAAAGTGCTGGGATTACAGGCGTAATCCCACCGCACCCGGCCTGTTTTTATGCTCTTGAGCTAGCACAGGTACTCTTTCTTTGTGTTACCTGTTGCATTTCATTTAATTCTTTTAAAGTTATAACAAGCGATATAAGACTGTAAAGAATATTTACAAAAATAAAAGGGGAGAGAAGTCAACCATAATCCTATTCTATGAAGATATGTTTTTACATATTTCCTTTCAATGTTATCTATGCATATCTCTTTTATATAGTTTAAGTGATGGGGCATTCAGTATGGGATGTAACTTATTCCACTTAACATTATATCACAAACATTCTCCATGTCCTTGCTTACTTGGGGTCCTCATTATCTAACAGTGGCATAGCGCTAACCAAATCCACTTAGGCTTCTGGGCTGCCTCCAGGCTCTTGGCTAGGCATTCTGCTAGCACTCTCATCCCTGGGGAGGGTGGATCATACTTGGCTCCTCCCCACCAGGTGGAACCTGAGCCTCCAACAGCAGCCTCAGGTCATTCATAGGTCAAGCCCCAGGCCTGAACTGCCACTAGACAAGGCTTTTGGCTCCCTTCCTGCCCTCTCGCCAATCTCCCAGGTCCGGGCTTGGTGGAGCCTGTTATGCGGGCACTCCAGGTCCACTCCCTCAGGGCAGAGGCCACAGCGCCATCCCCTTCCCCATGGTCTCCCTACCCCCAACCTGCACTGGGCGCTCCGCCCAGAGGTGAGTCCCTCCCAGCCCTTCTCTCCTTCTGTCCTAGCCATCCGCAGAGCCATCCTGTGCAAAGGAAGGAGCTAGGCTGTGCGCCCTGGGCGTCATGATCCTTCTGCGGGCCTCCGAAGTGCGGCAGCTGCTTCACAATAAGTTCGTGGTCATCCTGGGGGACTCTGTGCATAGGGCAGTATACAAGGACCTGGTGCTTCTGCTGCAGAAGGACCGCCTGCTCACTCCCGGGCAGCTTAGAGCAAGGGGGGAGCTGAACTTCGAACAAGATGAGCTGGTGGACGGAGGCCAGCGGGGCCACATGCACAACGGCCTTAACTACCGTGAGGTCCGCGAGTTCCGCTCCGACCACCATCTGGTACGTTTTTACTTCCTCACCCGCGTGTACTCCGATTACCTCCAGACCATCTTGAAAGAGCTGCAGTCGGGCGAGCACGCCCCCGACCTGGTCATCATGAATTCCTGCCTCTGGGACATCTCCAGGTATGGTCCGAACTCCTGGAGAAGCTACCTGGAGAACCTGGAGAACCTGTTCCAGTGCCTGGGCCAGGTGCTGCCCGAGTCTTGCCTCCTGGTGTGGAACACGGCCATGCCTGTGGGCGAGGAAGTCACCGGGGGTTTTCTTCCGCCCAAGCTCCGGCGGCAGAAGGCCACCTTCCTGAAAAACGAAGTGGTCAAAGCCAACTTCCACAGCGCCACCGAGGCACGTAAACATAACTTCGATGTACTGGACTTGCATTTCCACTTCCGCCACGCGAGGGAGAACCTGCACTGGGACGGGGTGCACTGGAATGGACGTGTGCACCGCTGCCTCTCCCAGCTGCTGCTGGCCCACGTGGCCGACGCCTGGGGTGTGGAGCTGCCCCACCGCCACCCCGTGGGCGAGTGGATCAAGAAGAAAAAACCTGGCCCGAGAGTCGAAGGGCCGCCCCAGGCCAACAGAAATCACCCGGCCTTACCTCTGTCCCCACCCTTACCTTCCCCCACATACCGCCCCCTGCTTGGGTTCCCACCCCAGCGCTTGCCGCTGCTCCCGCTCCTGTCCCCACAGCCTCCTCCTCCCATTCTCCATCACCAGGGAATGCCCCGGTTCCCACAGGGTCCCCCAGATGCCTGTTTTTCCTCAGACCATACTTTCCAGTCGGATCAATTCTATTGCCATTCAGATGTCCCCTCATCAGCCCATGCAGGTTTCTTCGTCGAAGACAATTTTATGGTTGGTCCTCAGCTGCCTATGCCCTTCTTCCCCACACCCCGTTATCAGCGGCCTGCCCCAGTGGTACATAGGGGTTTTGGCAGGTATCGTCCCCGTGGCCCCTATACGCCCTGGGGACAGCGGCCTCGACCTTCAAAGAGAAGGGCCCCAGCCAATCCTGAGCCAAGGCCTCAATAGACGGACCTAGGCCTTATTTCCTCTTTATGAACATGGATTGGACAGATCTGACACTTCCTTTCCATTGCTTGGCCTGAACAGACTGACCTTGTTAACTTAAGCCTGGAGTCCATGCCTCGTCTTCCTTTTGTTCATTGCTGTTACCAAGAAAGCCAAGGAAGAGCAGCCTGACTCATTCTTCTTGGCTGCAGCCTCTTCCCCACTTCCTGGGAGTGACCCAGCGTTATTCCTGCCTCCTCACTCCTATTCTCTTTGCCTTTGTGTAAAAATAAAATGGAAATAAACAAGTTGCACAGAAGTAGTTGTGGGTTTTGCATGTGTCTATATTTAATGGATGCCTCTCCATTAAATGATTAGTTCTTAATATGGTTTGTCTCTGTGTCCCCACCCAAATCTCATCTTGAATTGTAATAATCCCCATGTGTCAAGGGAGGGACCATGTGCAGGTAATTGAATCATGGGGGTAGTTTCCCCTATGCTGTTCTCATGATAATGAGTGAGTCTCACAAGATCTGATGGGTTTTTTTTGTTTGTTTTTTTTTTTTGAGGCGGAGTTTTGCTCTTGTTGCTCTGGCTGGAGTGCAATGGCATGATCTCGGATCACTGCAACCTCCTCCTCACAGGTTCAAGCGATTCCCCTGCCTCAGCCTCCCGAGTAGCTGGGATTACAGGCATGCACCACCACGCCTGGCTAATTTTGTATTTTTAGTAGAGACGAGGTTTCTCCGTGTTGGTCAGGCTGGTCTTGAACTCCTGACCTCAGGCGTCCGCCCGCCTCGGCCTCCCAAAGTGCTGGGATTACAGGCATGAGCCACCGTGCCTGGCTGCCACTTCTCTGTTTTTAAGAATGTTAACATAACTAAGACTGTTTAAATGCTAGGCTCATTGTAACACTCAACTAGTGAAATGTTAACACTTAGATAAAATAGTCAAAATCAGATGTGATTAAAATTGTTCAAATAATAGGATTTTTCATTGAATTGATTTGACTGGTTTGTAGCTCCCCAATACCACCATCCCTAAATTTGACAAGAATTAGGACATGTTGTCTTGCAAAAATAAGGTTCATGAAGTCACAAGAAATTGGTGAAATTATGTATATCTACAGAAGGAATACATTAGCAGCTTTTAATCCACTAAAAAAACAAGAGTCTTGGAGAATGGGACCTTTATCTTATCTCTGTGTCTCAAATCTTAGCACAACGCCTGGCACTTAATAAATACTGAATAGCATTTCTGGATGAATCAACGAGTGAATGAAGAGATGGCTTATAAATAAATATTTCTGATGAGACTACAATCCAAATCTTTAGAGATACCATAAATCAACATTTAATCTTTGTAACACATCTGAAGGAATATTCTTGAAATAGCGTGATGATGGTCTTTAAGGATTCTAGAAAGGGAGTGATGAGTCAGAATTTGCCAGAATGTCCCAGCATAGTCAGGAGAAAGAGAACCTCTCTGGTCGATGTACATGTTCTAATCCCATGGAGATTAGGGCACCAGACTATGAGATTTGGTAACATTTGCTATCAAGATGAACCAGCTGCCTTCATTCTGGCTTTATATTTCCCAATCAACACTGAACAGTGTTTAGCTGCTGATCTGAGTAAGCTGACACATGTAGTGTTTCTATTTCCATGAACAAGGCAATAAATTGGTGTTCTGATTTATAACTCTCTCCTGTGAGTTAGGTCAGTGTGTATGAATCCTTAATCTGATCATGCCTGATGAACCAAGGAGAATGAGTTCTTAGATATACAGTGCTGAGGATCAGATGCTGAATCAATGGTGAATCCACAATATTATGGATGAAATTGCATCAGCTACTCAACAGTTCTGTTTCTCTCAGATGGGTAGGAGTGCAGGGAGACTCGAGCAGGGGAAATCTTTTCCTTCGCAGTTATATTAATTTCCTGTGGCTGCTGTAAAAAAACACCACAAACTTGGTGACTTAAAATAACACACATTTATCTCCTAATTCTGGAAGTCAGAAGTCTGAAATCCATCACTCCAAAATAAAACCTTTACTATGTCTAACTGTCTAACATGATCAGGCTTCTACCTGCCCTGGCAATGTCATCTTCTGGAACTCTCTTTATTGCTCTTTATTCTTTCAACCACACAGGACTTCTTTCTGTTGATACAGCACAACAAGCTCTTTTATAACTTGGGCCTTTGCACTTGCTATTTCCTTTACCGCATTGTTCTATATCCCATACTTCCTAGGTCTTTTAATTCCTAACTCATCCTTCCATTCTCACCTTGCAAGTTCCCTCCTAAGAGGCCTTTCAGGACCATTTCTGTGATGATCTGTCATAGCACTCTTTATTTCCTTTGTATGGCTTACCTCACTCTGCAATGGCTTCAGTAGTTGCTTGTTAGCCTCCCTACTAGAATGAAAGTTCCATGAGTCTTGTTTACTCTGGACTTCCCAAGGCCTACTAGCACAGTGCCTGATAAAGAGGTTTTCAAGTATTTATGCTTTAGTTAAATGTTCAAGCACATAATTCACTCACATTCAGTACTCAACTAAGAATGCAGTTTGTATTAAGATTGAGCAACATCAGCCCAAACAGCTATTGTGAAAAAATAAAAATTGAGCAGCATTTGATTACTTAGAAAATGTCTGCAGAACATTCCCATAACTTTACCTAAATTATGCTGGGTGGCTAGCCCTCTTCCTCTCACCCCACCCCTCCACCCACTGGGAGTAAGACTCAGACAGCACATTCAGTGAATGCTTGCCTTTAATTTCATACATATCCTGGCCTTTATCTTCCAGCCTAGGGCTTTCTTCTTTGCCCATATTTGCTATTTTCACCTTGCTCCTTAAATGAGGAGACCTAGCAGTGCAATCAAGCTATTGTCTGGTAAAAAGAACCAAAAATATTCAGCATTTGTGAGAGAAATTATTGCTCCACTGTTGAGGTTTAGAATGCAGGATTCATTTGGCCTATTTTCCATCCTCAAGAAACGACAGCACTCACAGATTTACATACTTGATTCTTGTCTTAAATTTCCTGGAAAAGTAAAATTAATGATTACATTGACATCATCGAAGCAGCATGTTTCTCACAAGATTTTATACTAATATACCAAAGGCCAGATTTTAAAGCTGTAGCAATATTTTTCCATATGCGCAAAGAAAGCAAGGTCCGGCATTTGAAAACAAACCAAACCTTCCCTCCCAGAGTAGGACCAACAACAGCCCTTCACGGTCAGCCACAGAGCTCTTGCTCTTGCTGCCAGGAGGCAACATTTACGGTTAAATCTGGAGTTGTACAAAGCGGCCGCCCGTCTCTTCGACAATTTTATGTTCACGACTTCTGCAAAAGTAAGTTGTTTCAAAAACTTAAATCGTTAAGATGCATGTGAAGCCAGGCGCGGTGGCTCATGCCTGTGATCCCAGCACTTTGGGAGGCCAAGGCGGGCAGATCACGAGGTCAGGAGATCGAGACCATCCTGGCTAACACGGTGAAACCCCGTCTCTACTAAAAATACAAAAAATTAGCTGGGCGTGGTGGCGGGCGCCTGTAGTCCCAGCTACTCGGGAGGCTGAGGCGGGAGAACGGCGTGAACCCGGGAGGCGGAGCTTGCAGTGAGCAGAGATCGCGCCACTCCAGCCCGGGCGACAGAGCGAGACTCCGTCTCAAAAAAAAAAAAAAAAAAAGATGCATGCGAGAGAAAGAAATTACTGTTGTTTTAAACTATTGTATGTTTGTTACCATAGAGGTAACTCCAGGAATAATATTCTCGTTCTCATAACTCAAGAAAGAGCTCTATCATGGCATGCTTAATTTTATAGATACACAGACAGTCTCTGACTTACAAAGTTTCAATGTACGATTCTTCAACTTTACGATGGTGGGAAGGCAATATGCATTCATTAAAAAGTGGTCTAAAGGGCGAGTGTGGTGGCTCACGTCTGTAATCCCAGCACCTTGGCAGGCTTCAGCCCAGGTTTGAGACCAGCTTAGTCAACACAGTGACACCCCCATCTCTATATAAAAAATTTTTTTAAATTAGCCAGGCATGGTGGCAAGTGCCTGTAGTCCCAGATACTCAGGAGGCTGAGGTAGGAGCTGAGGCTTGAGCCCAGGAGTTCAAGACTGCAGTGAGCTATGATCATACCACTGCACTCCAGCCTGGGCAACAGAGTGAGACCCTCTCTGAAAAAACAAAACAAAACAAAACAAAACAGTCCAATAATCTCTCTCAATGCTGAGCAGTACAGCCGCAGCAGCTCCTGGTCAGCCATGCCACCACGAAGGCAACAACTGATAGATATTCTACAGCGTCCTGTGTTGCCAGATGATTTTGCCCAATTGGAGGCTAATACAAGTGTTCTGAGCACATTTAAGGTAGGGTAGACTAAGCTATGATGTTCAGAAGTTTAGGGGAATTAAGTGCATTTTTGATTTACAATATTTTCAGCTTATGATGGGTCATAACCTCTTTGTAAGTTGAGGAGCATCTGTAGTTTTTATCGGAAGACTTAACCCCTTTGTAAGTTAAGGAGCATCTGTAGTTTCTGTCACAAGACTTTACCCATTTAACTTTAAAGAAACGTTTCCTAAAACATGTCCCTTTGACCCATAGGTTTTACTCCATATGCATTCTATAGGCAAGGATGTTTGTAAAAGGATGTTTGTAAAATTGCTTCATGCGGAAATTCACAATGACCTTTAATAGATTAGAGGCTCTGAGAAGTTCTGCATGAAATAAACTTGACTAAGTGTGTTTAACTTAGTATTCCCAAGATGTGTTTAACCCAGAACCATTTTCATAAGTAGCGTCTTTTATTTATTTATTTATTATTTTTAGAGATAAGATCTCACTTTGTCGCCAGGCTAGGTGCAGTGGCATGATCATAGCTAACTGCAGCCACCAACTCCTAGCTCAAGTGATCCTTCTGCCTTAGCCTCCCAAGTAACTGGGACTATAGGCACATGCCACCACTCCCAGCTATTTTTTTGTTTATTTTAATTTTTCTTTTTCTTTTTTTTGAGACAGAGTCTTGCTCTGTCACCCAGGCTGGAGTGCAGTGGTGCGATCTCGACTCTCTGCTATCTTTGCCTCCCGGGTTCAAGCGATTCTCCTTCCTCAGCCTCCGGAGTAGCTGGGATTACAGGCACCCGCCACCAGGCCTGGCTAATTTTTGTATTTTTAGTTGAGACAGCGTTTCACCATGTTGGTCAGGCTTGTCTCAATCTACTGACCTCGTGATCCACCCACCTCAGCCTCCCAAAGTGCTGGGATTACAGGCGTGAGCCACTGCGCCCGGCTTGTTTTAATTTTTCTAGAAATGGGGTCTCATTATGTTACCCAAGCTGGTCTTGAACTCCTGGCCTTAAGTGATCTTCCTTTCTTGGCCTCCCAAAGTGCTGAGATTATGGGTATGAGCCACCGTGCCCACCCTTAGCATCTTGTTAAAAACGTATTTTGGGAAATAATATTCTAGAGAATGCCAAATAAAATGGTAAGGGTAAGTGAAGAGAAAAGAAGGTTTGTGAGTGATATTTTATATACGAAGCCCTTTTGTGATGTAGCATTGTAATAAGCAGTGCCCAAACAAGAGCTAATATTTGTTAGGTAAGCTTGGGACAAGTGTGGGAACGGCTGGTTAGCTGAAGTAAGATAAACTGGACCAAAAATGATTGCCCTCTTCTTCCTCTAAAATGGGAGACTGAGACAGCCAACCTTAATAATAAGCTCTGGGCCACAACCAGTCCAGCCTGTGGAGTATGATGTGCAGCAGAAGTGTTCCAGCCCAGGTATTCAATGCTTGGCACAGGGTCACAGAATATCCCAAGACATATCCCAGTGGAACGTGGTAATTGGGAAGTAGAGAATAAACAGTATTCTGAAGCTGAGCAGAGAGTCATTCAACAGCAGCTCACTCTATCAACACTTAACAATGTTGTTAGGAGCAGACTCCAGTCCCTAGGAAAGGGCCTATCTTAGAAGAATGAGAGCACCAGCAGGAGCTCCTGTAGATGAGCTGGACATCCTTGGAAGAAAAGACATAACCAGACCATGTGACCTGACAAGTCTCGTCTAGGCTCTGGGCAGGTACCCTCTTTGGCCCTGTAATCATGATACCTCTTTGACTAGACTGTTTCCTGGCTTCTTGAGCTGGGCTTGTCTTTACTTCCTACTCCCATGTCTACATAGCATGGGCTAATTTTTCACAAGTAGTCTTGTATTTCCTCCTGATAGTGATGTCTCACCACCAGCTTGATCCTTTCCCTACCATCCACTCTTCCCTACCTGCACCAGCCCTAAGGCAGTGGCTCTCAAACTATTTACTGTGCATCAGAATCTCCCGGTGGACTTGTTAGGACACTGTTGCTGTCCCCCAACCACCCGTCTTCCCAAGTTTCTGACTCAGTCTAGAGTAGAGCCCTAGAAGTTGCATTTCCAGTAAGTTCTCAGATGAGGAGGACCACACTTTGAAAACCACCACTTTTTTTATTCTTCCAAAGAAACAAAACATAGAATCATATAGCTATAACCTAGATTTAACCATTGTTAATGTTTTGCCAGTTCATATTTTTTCTGAAGTATTTTAAAGTAAATTAGTTCATATTTCATCTATAAATATTTCATATGTTGGAAATGAGGACATTTTCCCACATAACTGCAGGATTAGTATCATATTTAACAAAATTGACATAAGTTGCTGTTATTATCTGATACTCAGTCCCAGAAATGTTTTCTGCATCTATTCAAACTGGGATCCACTAAAGAATCACTCATTGCATTGACTTTTATGTCTCTCAAATCTCTTTTAAGCTAAATAGAACCCAACACACAGTGTCTTTTTTCTTTTTTCTAAGACATTAACTTGTTGAAAAGACTTATCCTGTAGAATATTCCACTTTCTGGGTTTGTCTAATGATTTCTTCATGGTGCTATTTAAACTTTACTTTATCCTCTGTATTTCTTTTTTTTTGAAATGGAGTCTCACTCTGTTGCCCAGGTTGGAATGCAGTGGTGCGATCTTGGCTCCCTGCAACCTCTGCCCCCTGGGTTCAAGCAATTCTCTGCCTCAGCCTCCCAAGTAGCTGGGATTATAGGTGCCTGCCACCATACCTGGCTAATTTTTGTATTTTTAGTAGAGAAGGGGTTTCGCCATCTTGGCCAGGCTAATCTTGAACTCCTGACCTTGTGATCCATCTGCCTCAGCCTCCCAAAGTGCTGGGATTACAGGAGTGAGCCACGGCATCTGGCCTATCCCCTGTATTTCTTATAAAGTGAATGTTAGATCTTAAGTCTTGATTAGATTCAAGTGAAACATTTTTGCTAGGTTATTTCATAGGCAAGACAGTGTACTTCGTATTGCACCACAACCAGAGACACATGAACGGTTTTCCCAGAATTAGATGCTAAGATTGATCACCAAGTAAAAAGGAAAACAGCCAGAAGCCTCTACTTAAAAGTTTTGTTTGTCCAATTACAACTTGTGGGGTGTGCCCAGCAAGTATCTTGTGGGGTGATACACTGGTACCATATACATATTTCAATTCTTCATCAATCTTTAAAAAAAAAAAAAAAAAGTAGAGACAGGGTCTTGCCATGTTGCCCAGGCTAGTCTTAAATACCTGGGCTCAAGTGATCCTCCCGTCTCAACCTCCCGAGTAACTGGAATTGTAGGCACGAGCTAACATGCCTGTCTTCCTAATCTTTCACGTAACTGTTTTAGCATCCATTGATCATTCTTGTTTGAAACAATGACTTCATTAGGGGTGGGAAAATGGTCATTTTTCTCATTTTACCATTCCTTATACATTTCTTAGCTGGCATTCTCTTGTAAAGAGATTTTTGGCCTGGCGCGGTGGCTCACGCCTGTAATCCCAGCATTTTGGGAGGCCAAGGCAGTCAGATAACCTGAGGCCAGGAGTTCAAGTCCAGTCTGGCTGACATGGCGAAACCCTATCTCTACTAAACATACAAATATTAGCCGGGCATGATTATGGGCGCCTATAATCCCAGCTACTCAGGGGGCTGAGGCACAAGAATCCCTTGAACCCAGGAGGCAGAGGTTGCAGTGAGCGGAGATCACGCCATTGCACTGCAGCCTGGGAAGCAGAGTGAGACTCTATCTTGAAAGAAAAAAAGAGAGAGAGAGATTCTTTTTGTCTTCAACTGGGGCTATTTGTTTACCCCAAGACACACTTCTTACAGAAAGCCTGGCTACCATGAAGTATGACAGTGGGTATAACAAGACTCTACCCTCAGACTGCCCCTCCCAGTTAGTTGGGGCTCTACTGACTATGACCCAGGCATGGGAAAAAGACATGACACTCATCTGAAATGAGGTTTTATTTAGAAGCCGGTCTTTGAAATAACCCAAGAGCCCGACTATCAGCATGGGGAAATAAGCTCATAGCTGGACAGACAGCAACGACATAGATCCGGTGGAGGTGAATCTGCAGATAGAGGATAATTGGTCTTGGCTTCAAGGATGGAAAGAAGCCAAAGATTGGGAATTAGGTATGGCATTTGAAGGAGTTAAGGACTATCCACTCCAGACATATGCCAATTTGATACTTTGATTATTTCAAGCTACAAGCACTTGAGAAACTGTAATTGCAGAAAGAGTTATCTGACCTGTCCTTTCCTTCGTGTGGCAAGCCATAAAAATTCCTTTGAGGAGGATGCCTTCCTCATACTGTGGCAAGAAAATAACCCTTATCTCCAAAGACCAGGAATTGTTGCTGCAATGGATCTGTACAAATAAACCTACTGAAGAAACCTTTATCTTCCATTAGCTTTACACACTCCCGTAGGTCTCCTAATGATTCCCCTTGAATTCACTGCCCCTGGCCCATCTCTTCACAATTTATGATTCTTTTTCTAAAACATATAAAAGCTTTCTGCTTTGGCCATTTCTTCAGATCTTCACTCTCATGAGGGTCCCCAAGTACACATGTAAAAATAATAAAACTGGGCCAGGCGCAGTGGCTCATGCCTGTACTTGGGCATTTTGGGAGGCCGAGGTGGGTGGATCACCTGAGGTAAGGAGTTTGAGACCAGCCTGGCCAACATGGTGAAACCCCGTCTCTACTAAAAAAATACAAAGAATTAGCTGGGCTGGTGGCACATGCCTGTAGTCCCAGCTACTCAGGAGGCTGAGACAAGAATGAATGGCTTGAACCCGGGAGGCAGAGGTTGCGGTGAGCCAAGATCGTGCCATTGCACTCCAGCCTGGGTGACACATTAAGACTCTGTCTCAAAATAAGAAGAAAAAGAAGAAGAAAACTTGTATGTTTTTCTTCTGTTAATCTGCCTTGTGTCAATTTGATTCCTAGATGCAGCTGAAGATCCCTCTTAAGAACTAAGACAGATAGAGGTGATCTTTAGCCTCCCTATGCTTTATAAACCTAGCCCATTGTGCCAGTTAGTAAAGGCAAAAGGTAAAAACACTCGTTTGTATGCTGAGTCATCTTCACTTTGGGATTGTATCTTTTTTAATCAACCAATAAATAAATGTTTACACATCAAGGTAAAGTTATTTATGTATCTGTGAGTTGGCAAATGATATATTGGTCTCTTATTTGTTTATTGGCAAGTACATATTTGTTAACTCAATAAAAAGTGTTGATTTTGTATGAGGAACTTCATAAAACGTTCATGGCTAGAGAAAAAGATTGAATAAGAAAACCATATTATAAGAGTATTCAAGAAAATTGTTGTCAGAGTGTATTTTTCTTTTTGAGATGGGAGTCTCACTCTGTCACCCAGGCTGGAGGGCAATGGTATGATCTCAGCTCACTGCAACCTCCACCTCCCGGGTTCAAGCCATTCTCCTGCCTCAGCCTCCCAAGTAGCTGGGACTACAGGCACATGCCACCACACCTGGCTAATTTTTGTATTTTTAGTAGAGACAGGGTTTTGCCATGTTGCCCAGGCTGGTCTTGAACTCCTGACCTCAGGTGATCCGCCCGCCTCGGCCTCCCAAAGTGCTGTGATTACAGGCGTGAGCCACCAAGCCGGGCCTTAGCAGAGGGTATTAAATTAAAAGTGCTTTACTGAGTAATTCCTTAATACCAGGTTCTCAAACCGTTCCACTGAAATACCTGTAATGGTGGAGATGAAACCCATATATACAGGAGGTCTGCCTGCTGCAGCTACTCCAAGGATTAAATTAATTTCAAGCATCATATAAAATATTAACTGAAATTCTCTGTTCACTTCATGCGGTATCCTTTGTTTTATAAATAATAATAATCATAACGCCCTTCAAAACATTGAATAAAATCAGTGCAAAACATTGAGCAAAAATGCAGTGGGATTTAGGGTCCTAATCCATAAAATAGGGGGATGATAGCATCTCTTATAAGATTATTATGGACAACTAAAATTGTATTTATAAAGCCCTTAGAATTGTGACTGGCACATAGTTACTACTTTAAAAATATTTGTCCATCAGGTGCAATGGCTGATGCTGTTAATCCCAGCACTTTGGGAGGCCCAGGTGGGAGGATTGCTTGAGGCCAGGAGTACATGACCAACCTGGGCAACACAGTAAGATCCCATCTCTACAGAAGACTTTTTTTTAATCAGGATCCCTTGAGCCCAAGAGATCAAGGCCACAGTGAGCTATGATCACATCACTGCATTCCAACGTGGGCAATAGAGACTCTCTCAAAAAATAGGGCCTGGCGCAGTGGTTCATGCCTGTAATCCCAGCACTTTGGGAGGCCGAGGTGGGTGAATCACCTGAGGTTGGGAGTTCGAGACCAGCCTGACCAACATGGAGAAACCCCCTCTCTACTAAAAATACAAAATTAGCCAGGCGTGGTGGCACATGCCTGTAATCCCAGCTACTCAGGAGGCTGAGGTGGGAGAATTGCTTGAACCCAGGAGGCAGAGGTTGTGGTGAGCTGAGATCACACCACTGCACTCCAGCATGGGCAACAAGAGTGAAACTCCATCTCAAATAAATAAATAAATAAAAATAAAAAAATAAAATATTTGTCAAATAAAATTAAAGATTGTTCCAAGTTCATGCTATTGTTTTAGCTACTACCATGTAATTGCCTCTCAGAGTATTAGGAATCCAGTTTGAATGTGATTTTAATATTTAAGGAGATAATTATGGATTGAGCAGAAGAGAGGGGAGATTGTGATTCTTTATTTGAGCTAAGTTAGAAAAGGGATCAAAGAACGGATGGAAATGGCATGAAGCCCAGGGTGTTGGCAGAGGGTAGCCAGAGTGGCCAGGCTGGTTGGTGCAGTCACTTAACACACATTTCAGAGCACTGACCACAGGCCCAGTGCCAGGCACTACAGACTGTGGAAACCATAAAAGCAGTTGCTGAGATGATGTGATGCAGTATTTCTTAGACCATTTCCCTCAGAATCACTAAGATGTTTGTTAAAAAAACAATACCAGGGCATAGGCCCCACCCTAAAACCATTAAATCAGAATCAGAATCAGAAATTCTGAGGGCAAAAACCTGGAGACAAGTGTATCTAAAAGTTCTCCAGGTATTTCTAATGTGCAACCAGGATTAAGAATCACTAATGCCAGGTGCAGTGGCTCATCCCTGTAATCCCAGCACTTTGGGAGGCCGAGGCGGGTGGATCACGAGGTCAGGAGGTCGAGACCAGCCTGGCCAATATTGTGAAACCCTGTCTCTACTAAAAATACAAAAACTAGCCGGGCGTGGTGGTGTGTGCCTATAGTCCCAGCTACTCGGGAGGCTGAGGCAGGAGAATCACTTGAACCCAGGAGGCGGAGGTTGCAGTGAGCCGAGATTTCGCCACTGCACTCCAGGCTGGGCAATAGAGGGAGACTTTGCCTCAGAAAAAAAAAAAAAAAAAGAATCACTAACCTGGTTCAGCCTTTTCATTTGGCAGATGAGAAAACTGAGGACTCAGAAATTAAATAACTTGCCTAAGATGGTAGAGCTCTCTTCAAACAGGTAACTGTAACACAGACTGGCTATGCACTAGTACAGTATTTTTCAAAATTAAAGTAATGCTTCATTAGTAAATTGTAAAAATAAATTTAGTGCATCCTGACCAGAATTTATTTGGAACAGAATAAAAAAATCAGAGTACAAATCAAGTAATAATGATACTATTCCATGGCATGTATGTGTGTTTGTGTGTGTGTGTGTTTATGTGTGTATTCTGACTAGAAGTAAAATGTCATTATTATTATGGATTGTTGTTAAAAAAAAATTGAAAAATCCTGCTCTGGAGTTTCCTTAAAATTTGAATATCTAAGGTTAGAAGGTGATGTCTGCCTATAGGAGTGATATAACTGCCTCTGCTGTCTAGTATGTAGCCCACAGAGAGGGTATGGATGGTATCGAGGTTAAGAACATGGGCTTGGGGGTGCACACATCTTGGAGAAAATTGAGTGTATGCCCTTTATTGGTGATGGGAACTTTTGCGAGAATCTTAAACTCTTTATGGCTCAGATACCTAAACTTTAAAATGAAAATAAAAACACACACCTCATAGGACTGTTAGTTTTAAATGCCATAATATCTGTAAGGCACTTGGCATAATGTTTGGCGCTTAGTAAATAGTCAATAAATACAAACAATTAAAAATGCATCCACGATCTATCATTTCCTGATTCAGAGAGGAAAGGAACTAAAAATGTACTAGGATTAAAACGGTTTTTGGAAGGATGTATATTCTTGTGACTAATGTTTATTTTAGAAAGACGGAAGTGAAAAAATAGCTGAAATAATTGCTTTAATGGGCAACATATTTACAAAAACTTTTTTTTTAATTTTCACAGAACCAGAAATTATGGTGCTACAAAAATACCTGCTTATCTTAGAGCCAAAACATTTCAATTTTAAAAAATGGCCTCGTATGGCAGATACATAAGTCAGGTATGCCACTCCTGGGATCATATCGGATGGGAGGCAGGATTAGATTACAGCTCCAGACAGAGCGGCATGCAGAGGCTTGCCTTGTGAATTTTAGCTCCAGATCGACTGCAAGAACAAACCAGCAATCCTGAGAGGATCCACAGACTCTCTGAAGGAAGCAGACTGCTCCTGCAGGACCCAGGAGACCCCCAAATACTGTGAGTGCCCCAACTGCAGTGCCACAACTGCAGAAGTGGGAAAGGGAGACCCTCCTCTCCCGAACACACACCCCCACTGGAGAAGCCGAAGATCTGTTTGTGGGAGAAGTTTCTGACTTTACCTGAAGCTGAGTCAAGTTAGAGAGCCAAGCGAAAAACAGGGGTAGAGGAAGCGGCAGAAAGGCCCTGGAAGCTCGCTGGGTGCCCCTGCAGCCCATTCCTGCCTGGCACCACAGGGATCCACTGAGAGGGTGGCCAGAGATGCAGGGGGTAAAACTCCACAGGGAGAAGGAATGCTCTAGCCGAAATTTGTACCAATTTGAACAGGGTGAGAAACCTCCTGGCCAGAACTCAGGGGAGGGCGTGAATCCAGTATGCAGACTTCACTCGTAGGGGAAGAACTAAAGCCCTTTTCTTTCACAGCTGTGAGGCAGATAGCCTTGGGCAAGTTTTCAAGCCTATCTCTCCCTCTTCCTGGAAACAGACTCAGGGCTGTTGGTGGGACATGGTGGGAGTGAGACCAGCCCTTCCGTTTGCATGAGAGCTGGGTGAGGGCTCTGACTGCCAGCTTTCCTCCACTTCCCTGATAACCTGCATGACTCAGCAGAGGCAGCCCTAATCCTCCTAGGTACACAACTCCAGTGACCTGGGAATCTCACTCCCATCTCCCACAGCAGCCACAGCAAGACTTGCCCAAGGAGAGTCTGAGCCTCCTGAACAGTCTGAGCGTATGCCTAGCCCTGCCCCCACCTGATGGTCCTTCCCTATCCACCCTGGTAGTGGAAGATAAACGGCATATAATCTTGGGAGTTCTAGGGTCCCACCCACTACTGGTCCCTCTCCACATTACTACAGCTGATGTTTTCTGGAAAATGCCACCTCCTGGCAGGAGGCCAACCGGCACAAAAATAGAGCATTAAACCACCAAAGCTACAGACCTTCAGAAAGTCTATTGCACCTTCTGCCACCTCCACCAGAACAAGCGCTGGTATCCACGGCTGAGAGACCCGTAGACAGTTCACATCACAGGACTCTGTGCAGACAACCCCCAGTAGCAGCCTAGAGCCTGGTAGACTTGCTGGGTGGCTAGACCCAGAAGAGAGACAACAATCACTGCAGTTCAGCTCACAGGAAGCCACATCCATAGGAAAAGGGGGAGAGTACTACATCAAGGGAAGACCCTGTGGGACAAAAGAATCTGAACGACAGCCTTCAGCCCTAGACCTTCCCTTTGACAGAGCCTACCCAAATGAGAAGGAGCCAGAAAACCAATCCTTGTAATATGACAAAACAAGGCCCTTCAACACCCCCCAAAAATCACACTAGTTCACCAACAATGGATCCAAACCAAGAAGAAATCCCTAATTTACCTGAA
This sequence comes from Homo sapiens, assembly GCF_000001405.40. Classification (NCBI taxonomy): domain Eukaryota; kingdom Metazoa; phylum Chordata; class Mammalia; order Primates; family Hominidae; genus Homo; species Homo sapiens. The sequence continues at coordinate 47,250,804 of NC_000012.12, forward strand.
AAAGAATTCAGGAGGTTAGTTATTAAGCTAATCAGGGAGAGACCAGAGAAAAGTGAAGCGCAATGCAAGGAAATCCAAAAAATGATACAAGAAGTGAAGGGAGAAATATTCAAGGAAATAGATAGCTTAAAGAAAAAACAATACAAAATTCAGGAAACTTTGGACACACTTTTAGAAATGTGAAATGCTCTGGAAAGTCTCAGCAATAGAATTGAATAAGTAGAAGAAAGAAATTCAGAGCTCAAAGACAAGGCCTTTTTTTTTTTTTTTTTTTTTTTGAGATGGAGTTTCACTCTTGCTGCCCAGGCTGGAGTGCAATGGTGCGATCTCCGCTCACCGCAACCTCCACCTCCCGGGTTCAAGCGATTCTCCTGCCTCAGCCTCCCAAGTAGCTGGGATTACACCATGCCCAGCTAATTTTATATTTTTAGTAGAGACAGGGTTTCTCCATGTTGGACATGCGGCCTCAAACTCCTGACTTCAGGTGATCCACCCACCTCAGCCTCCCAAAGTGCTGGGCCGTGCCCAATGACAAGTTCTTCAAATTAAACCAATCCAACAAAGACAAAGAAAAAAGAATAAGAAAATATGAACAAAGCCTCCAAGAGGTCTGAGATTATGTTAAACGACCAAACCTAAGAACAATCAGTGTTCCCAAGGAAGAAGAGAATTCTAAAAGCTTAGAAAATATATTTGGGAGAATAATTGAGGAAAACATCCCCAGCATTGCTAGAGACCTAGACATCCAAATACAAGAAGCACATAGAACACATCAGAAATTCATCACAAAAAGATCTTCTCCTAGGCACCTTGTCATCAGGTTATCCAAAGCTAAGATGAAGGAAAGAATTTTAAGATCTGTGAGACAGAAGCACCAGGTAACCTATAAAGGAAAACCTATCAGATTAACTGGAGATTTCTCAGCAGAAACTCTACAAGCTAGGAGGGATTGGGGCCCTATCTTCAGCCTCCTCAAACAAAACAATTATCAACTAAGAATTTTGTATCCAGAGAAACTAAGCATCATATATGAAGGAAAGATACAGTTGTTTTCAGAAAAACAAATACTGAGAGAATTCGCCATTACCAGGCCACCACTATAAGAACTGCTAAAAGGAGTTCTAAATCTTAAAACAAATCCTAGAAATACATCAAAACAGAACCTCTTTAAAGGATAAGTCACACAGGACCTATAAAACAAAAATACAAGTTAAAAAGCAAAAACAGCAACAAAAAAACAAAGTACACAGGCAACAAAGAGTACGATGAATGCACAGTACCTCATATTTCAATACTAACATTGAATGTAAATGGCCTAAATTCTCCACTTAAAAGATACAGAACCTCAGAATGCGTAAGAACTCACCAACCATCTATTGCCTTCAGGAGACTCACCTAACACGTAAAGACTCACATAAACTTAAAGTAAAGGGGTGGAAAAAGGCATTTCATGCAAATGGACACTAAAAGTGAGCAGAGGTAGCTATTCTTATATCATGCAAAACAAACTTTAAAGCAACAGCGGTTAAAAGAGACAAAGAGGGACATTCTATAATGGTAAAAGGCCTTGTCCAACAGGAAAATATCACAATCCTGAACATATATTCACCTAACACTGGAGCTCCCACATTTATAAAACAATTTCTACTAGACCTAAGAAATGAGATAGACAGCAACACAATAATAGTGGGGGACTTCAGCACTCCACTGACAGCACTAGACAGTTCATCAAGAGAGAGAGTCAACAAAGAAACAATAGATTTAAACTATACCTTGGAACAAATGGACTTAACAGATATATACAGAACATTTCATCCAACAACTGCAGAATACACATTCTATTCAACAGCACATGGAACTTACTCCAGCATAGACCATATGATAGGCCATAAAACTGTTACTGGGGAGTCCTTGCTCCCAGAGCTCCCAAGATGGTGGGGGGCCGTTTCCAAGATGGTGGCAAGCCTCGTGTTCTCTGACGTGGGGTTCTTGGCCTCACAGATTCCAAGGAACGGAATCTGGGGCCATGCAGTGAGTGTTATAGCTCTATTAGAAGCCTTGGGTCATGGAAGAGAACTGTGGAACCCAGTGACTAGTGTTCAGCTCGATTAGGATGAACCTGGGCACTTAGCTGTGCAGGAACAATGGCAAGCCTTTAGCCCGATCGGGGGCGGCAATAGGCACCTCGCTGGATCAGAAGCACAGTGGACACCCTGCCTGATCTGGAGGGATGGAAGTCAGCGGCAGGTCTGCGACGGTGGCAGACAGCAGTGGTGGATGGTGATCGAAAGCTCAGCTCGAGCAGTAACAAACATGGACCAGAAGAGAGTGCAGTTGCAAGATTTAATAGAGTGAAAACAGAGCTCCCATACAAAGGGAGGGGACCCAAAGAGGGTAGCCATTGCCGGCTCGAATACTTGGGTTTAGATCCCGATCATTGTCCCTCCCACTGTGCTCTCAGGCAGTAGATGATTGCCTATTTCTTTACCTCTTGTTTTTGCCTAATTAGCATTTTAGTGAGCTCTCTCTACTACCTGATTGGTCGGGTGTGAGCTAAGTTGCAAGTCCCATGTTTAAAGGTGGAAGCGGTCACCTTCCCATCTAGGCTTAGGGATTCTTAGTTGGCCTAGGAAATCCAGCTAGTCCTATCTCTCAAAACGAGCCTCAATAAATTTAAGAAAATTGAAATTATATCAAGCATTCTCTCAGACCACAGTGGAATAAAACTGGAAATCAACTCCAAAGGGAAACTTCAAAACCATGCAAATACATGGAAATTAAATAACCTGCTCCTGAATGAGCACTGGGTCAAAAACAAAATCAAGATGGAAATTAAAACATTCTTGAACTGAATGACAATAATGGCACAGCCTATCAAAACCTCTGGGATACAGCAAAGGCGGTGCTAAGAGGAAAGTTCACAGCCCTAAACGCCTACATCAAAAAGTATGAAAGAGCACAGACAGACAATCTAAGGTCACACCTCAAGGAACTAGAGAAACAACAAACCAAACCCAAATCCAGCAGAAGAAAAGAAATAACCAAGATCAGAGCAGAACTAAATGAAATTGAAACAAAAAGAAATCATACAAAAGATAAATGAAACAAACATCTGATTCTTTGAAAATATAAATAAAATCGATAGACCATTAGAAGATTAACCAAGAAAAGAAGAGGTAAAATCCAAATAACCTCACTAAGAAATGATGCAGGAGATTTTACAACTGACACCACTGAAATGCAAAAGATCATTCAAGGCTACTATGCACACCTTTACGCACATAAACTAGTAAATCTAGAAGAGATGGTTAAATTCCTGGAAAAATACAACCCTCCTAGCTTAAGTCAGGAGAAATTAGATACCCTGAACAGACCTCTAACAAGCAGCGAGATTGAAAGGGCAATTTAAAAATTTCCAACAAAAAAAGTCCAGGACTAGACAGACTCACAACAGAATTCTACCAGACATTCAAAGAAGAATTGGTATCAATCCTTTTGACACTATTCTACAAGATAGGAAAGAAGGAAACCTCCCTAATTCATTTTATGAAGGCAGCATCACCCTAATACCAAAAACCAGAAAAGGATATAACCAAAAAAGAAAACTACAGACCAATATTCTTGATGAACATAGTGCTAAAATCCTGAACGAAATACTGGCTAACCAAATCCAACAACATATCTAAAAGATAATGCACCATGATCAAGTGGGTTTCATACCAGGGATGCAGGGATGGTTTAACATATGCAAGTCAATAAATGTGATACACCACATAAACAGAATTAAAACAAAAATCACATAATCATTTTAATAGATGCAGAAAAAGCATTCAACAAAATCCATCATCCTTTTTTTTTTTTCTTTGAGACAGACTCTCACTCTGTCGCCCAGGCTGGAGTGCAGTGGCACGATCTCAGCTCACTGAAACCTCTGCCTCCTGGGTTCAAGTGATTCTTGTGCCTCAGCCTCTCGAGTAGCTGGGATTACAGATGTGTGCCACCACGCCTAGCTAATTTTTGTCTTTTAGTACAGATGTCTTTTTGTCTTTCACCGTGTTGGCCAGGCTGGTCTCGAACTCCCAACCTCAGGTAATCCGCCTGCCTCAGCCTCCAAAAGTGCTGGGATTACACACATGAGCCACTGTGCCCAGCCTTATCATCCCTTTATGATTAAAACTCTCAGCAAAATCGGCATACAAGGGACATACCTTAATGTAATAAAAGCCATCTGTGCTAACCCACAGCCATCATAATACTGAAAGGGGAAAAGTTGAAAGCATTTCCCCTGAGACTGGGAACAAGATAAGGATGCCCACTCTCACCACTCTTCTTCAGCATAGTCCTGGAAGTCCTAGCCAGAGCAATCAGATGAGAGAAAGAAATAAAGGGCATCCAAATCATCAAAGAGGAAGTCAAACTGTCACTGTTTGCTGACGATATGATCATTTACCTTGAAAACCCTAAGTACTCCTCCAAAAAGCTCCTAGAACTGATAAAAGAATTCAGCAAGGTTTCTGGATACAAGATTAATGTACACAAATCAGTAGCTCTTTTATACACCAACAGCAACCAAGTGGAGAATCAAATCAAGAACTCAACCCCTTTTGCAATAGCTGCAAATAAATAAACAAATAAAATACTTAGGAATATACCTAACAAAGGAGTCAAAAGACCTCTACAAGCAAAACTACAAAACACTGCTCAAAGAAATCATAGATGGCATCAAACAAATTGAAACACATCCCATGCTCATGGATGGGTAGAATCAACATTGTGAAAATGACCATACTGCCAAAAGCAAACTACAAATTCAATGCAATCCCCATCAAAATAGCACCATCATTTTTCACAGAATTAGAAAAAACAATTATAAAATTCATATGGAACCAAAAGTCTTGCATAGCCAAAGCAAGACTAAGCAAAAGGAACAAATCTGGGGGTATCACACCACCTGATTTCAAACCACACTCTAAGGCTATAGTCACCAAAACAGTGTGGTACTGGTATAAAAATAGGCATATAGACCAATGGAACAGAATAGAGAACCCAGAAATAAACCCAAATACTTACAGCCAACTGATCGTTGACAAAGCAAACAAAAACATAAAGTGGGGAAAGGACACCCTGTTCAACAAATGGTGCTGGGATAATTGGCAAGCCACCTGTAGGAGAATGAAACTGGACGCTCATCTCTCACCTTATACAAAAATCAACTCAAGATCGATTAAGGACTTAAACCTAAGACCCGAAATTTTAAAAATTCTAGAAGATAGCGTTGGAAAAACTCTCTAGACATTGGGTTAGGCAAGGATTTCATGACCAAGAATCCAAAGCAAATGCAACAAAAACAAAGATAAATAGCTGGGACCTAATTAATTAAAGAGCTTTTTCATGGCAAAAGGAACAGTCAGCAGAGTAAAGAGACAAATCACAGAGTGGGAGAAAATCTTCACAATCTATACATCTGACAAAAGACTAATTTCCAGAATCTACAACGAACTTGAACAAATCAGTAAGAAGAAAACAAACAATCTCATCAAAAAGTGGGCTAAGGACATGAATAGATAATTCTCAAAAGAAGATATACAAATGGACAACAAACATGAAAAAATGCTCCACATCACTAATGATCAGGGAAATGCAAGTCAAAACCACAATGCAATGCCACCTTACTCCTGCAAAAATGGACATAATCTAAAAACAGTAGATGGTGGCATGGATGCAGTGAACGGGGAACACTTCTACACTGCTGGTGGGAATGTAAACTAGTACAGCTGCTATGGAAAATAGTGTAAAAATTTCTTAAAGAACCAAAAGTAGAACTACCATTTGATCCAGCTATCCCACTACTGGGTATCTACCTAGAGGAAAAAAAGTCATTATTCGAAAAAGGTACTTGCACATGCATGTTTATAGCAGCACAATTCACAATTGCAAAATCGTGGAACCAACCCAAATGCCCATCAGCCAATGAGTGGATAAAGAAACGGTGGTGCATATATATGTGTGTGTAGGTATATAAGTGTATATATATATATCTGATGGAATACTTTGCAGCCATAAAAAGGAATGAATTAATAGCATTTGCAGTGACCTGGATGAGAATGGAGAATATTATTCTAAGTGAAGTAACTCAGGAATGGAAAACCAAACATCGTATGTTCTCACTGACATGTGGGAGCTAAGCTATGAGGACACAAAGGCATAAGAATGATACAATGGACTTTGGGGACTTGTGGGGAAGAGTGGGAGGGGGCGAGGGATAAAAGACTACAAATATGGCGCACTGTATACTGCTCAGGTGATAGGTGCACCAAAATCTCATAAATCGCCACTAAAGAACATACTCATGTAACCAAATACCACCCGTACTCCAATAACTTATGAAAAAATAAAAAAAAAAATCTAAACATAGAAAAGGAAAAAGTAAAATAAAATAATAAAAAAGAGAAACATGAAAAAAATAAGTCAGGTAGCCATCAGTCATTTGGATGTTGTTGTTTGTTTAGTTTCTTTCGAAAAAGAAAGATTTTCAATATCTGCATTAAAAAAAATGGTTCACATTCATTTTTGGCAGCTGGATCGCAAACAAAATGAAAACTTAGGCCCAAGAACTCCTTCCTGTTTCTCATGTGCTTCAATTCCTCTCTTTCTTCAGATCCTGTGCATGTCCACGGAGCGTTTCTGATCCAGCTCCCCGTTTTTAATAAGGAACTCTTCAACAAGAAATAAACTCCCTCTACTCATTCATGGTTCCACCTCAGTTTTATGAACAGACAAGTGCACAAGCTGGTCCCAAATAATGATGTGTCTGGTATGCTTAACGTTTGTGTGGCAGCTGGTGGAAAACCTTAAGGTTTTTTTTCCTCCTATTCCTTCCTGCGAAGGCGTATGCTTCTTCTAGAATGTCATTTGCATATACGCATACACTTATATACATACACACATATAGGTACATATGAACACATATAAAGGACTCAGATTATATGTTAAGTTGGTAGGACATAATGTATTAGGCTTAGCATTATAGAAGATTTAGACATGAATCAACACTTGGTTTATAGTCAAGGAGCTTAAATCTGACAGAGAAGACATAGCATGTTCACAAATAACTCTAATCCAGGAGAAAATGTAATAAGGGCCAGGACAAAGAGACAGCTACAGCACTACTGGAGTTTCAAAGGAGGGAGAGATTGCATGCATGCCTCCGATAGTTGCAGGAAGAGTGGAGACAGTGGCAGAGGAGGCATCTGAGCTGCATCCTGAAAGATGGACCGAATTTGCCTCTGCCAACATGAGGAGGTGGGATATCCAAATGACAGAGGGCACACATAAAGATCCAGAAGTAGGTAAAAAGGCATGTCTAGGGACCACTGAAGACATTACTTGGGCCAGAACAAGGGGCCCATGGAGGGGAGTAAAGGTCAATTGATTTGGGGAAAGAGGGTATGTATTAGTTTTCTTGGTTGCTATAACAAATTGCTGGCTGGGCATGGTGGCTCATGTCTATAATCCTAGCACTTTGGGAGGCCGAGGCATGCAGATTGCTTGAGCCCAGCTCAAGATCAACCTGGGCAACACAGGGAAACCCCATCTCTACAAAAATTTTAAAAAAACTAGCCAAGCATTGTGGCACATACCTGTGGTCCCAGCTACTTGAGAGGCTGAGGCCGGAGGATCACTTGGGCCTGGGAGGTTGAGGCTGCAGTAAGCTATGATGTGCCACTGCACTCCAGCCTGGATGACAGAGCAAGACCATCTCAAACAAACAAACAAACAAACAAACAAAAAAGCTGGGTGCAGTGGCTCACGCCTGTAATCTCAACACTTTGGGAGGCCAAGCTGGGTGGATCACTTGAGGTAAGAAGTTCAAGACCAGCCTGGCCAACATGGGGAAACCCTGTCTCTACAAAAAATACAAAAAATTAGCTGGGCATGGTGGCAGCCACCTGTAATCCCAGCTACTTGGGAGGCTGAGGCAGGAGAATCGCCTGAACCCGGGAAGTGGAAGTTGCAGTGAGCCGAGATTGCACCATTGCACTCCAGGCTGGGCAACAAGAGTGAAACTCCATCTAATAAAATAAATAAATTAATTAATTAATTAAATAAAACAAAAAACCAAATTGCCACAAGCTGAGTGGCTTAAGACAACACAAATTTATCATTTTACAGTTCTGGAGGTCAGAACTCTAAGGGCCTCCCTGGGCTAAAATCAAGGCATCAGCAGAGCTGTGTTCCTTCCTGCAGGCCCTACAGGAGAATTCATTTTCCTGCCTTTTCCAGGTGAAAGCTGCTCACATTCCTTGGCTTGTAACTCCCTTTCATTTTCAAAGCCAGCAATGGCTGGTGGAGTCTTTCTCACATCACATCACATCTTCTGCCCCCTGCTTCCACGTTTAAGGACACTTGTAAATTACGTTGGGTCCGCCGATGATCCAGGGTAATCTCCTCATTTTACATTAGCAACTGTAATTCCACCTGCAATCTTTATTCCCTTTTGCCAGGAAACAACATATTGATAGGCTCCTGAGATTACGACATAGACATCTTTGGGGATACATTATTCTGCTACCAAAATTTTTGTTTCAATTTTAGATTGGAACCAAAAATGGAAAGGCCCTGAATGTCAGGATTGTCATCCACATTCTTCATCCAGGACAGAAAATACAACGTCTATTTTCAGATTAAAGATGGTTTCAGTTCAAATATTTTCTTGCTTTTAGCTAGAATTATAGCAATTCAGTCTAGTAGCCCAGATTGTCTCATACTGATTGGGTGTTCTGCTTGACAGTTCTAGATGCCTTTGATTAATAAAACATGGGGAAAGAAATTAAATATTGATAAATGTAGTTCGGTGCATTCAGCTTTTCAAAACACAGGGCCTTTTGGGAGGGAAAACCATAAAAGGGGATCTCAGTGCTGGAAAGATTGGGAACCACTGCCTTAAAAAATATGGCCTCTGATTATTCCAGTTGGTCTTACTTGTATATATGGCATTTTTCTCTATTACTGATAGATCTCTAGGGTTGGAGTATGAAAGATTTGGAAAAGACTTTTTAAAATTGCTTTGTCGAATATGTTTTATCTTTCAACTTGTTTATGGTTTGATCAATAATTCATTCCTTAGCATCTGTGTCTTAAAGACTATCTTGTCTGTTGTCTTTATGAATGATGAATTATGATATTGGGAGAACAAAATACATTCTTTTTAAAGCACAGCATCTCAAATGAAATGCCCAGAATTTATAGTGTGTAGATAACAACAAAAAAATGACTTAAAGCCGCGAAACAGGAAGAGGGATGAAATATTTGATAAAGCAGGAAGTACAAATAATATAACAGAAAATCCATCTGGACTTGGGCACTGAGCTGTTCAGATGGCCTTTATTTATTTGCTTAGCCAATTTGAAGATTCTCCCTTTAAAATACCATTTCAATTAAAATGTTCTACCATGAACTACTGGAGCATAAGTTCACCCAGCTGTTAACCACACCCAGCACAGATACCTTTCCATTTTAGGTGTTTGTATGGAATATATTTTTCTCAAACTCCTAGTGCTTACCTTTCTGTTTTAAATAAAGAAAGGGTGAAAAGACAGAACAAACCAGTTATGTGGAGAGAAAAACTTAGGCACAGAGAGAAGTGTCATTTGAACACAGACTCTGGCCTGTGCTGCAGTTTTTCTTTCTTTCTTTCTTTTTTTCTTTTTTGAGACGGAGTCTTGTCGCCCAGGTTGGAGGGCAGTGGTGCGATCTCGGCTCACTGCGAGCTTCACCTCCCGGGTTCACACCATTCTCCTGCCTCAGCCTCCCAAGTAGCTGGGACTACAGGCACCCACCACCACGTCCAGCTAATTTTTTGTATCTTTAGTAGAAACAGGGTTTCACCGTGTTAGCCAGGATGGTCTTGATCTCCTGACCTTGTGATCTTCCCACCTCAGCTTCCCAAAGTGCTGGGATTACAGGTGTGAGCCACCGTGCGCGGCCCCCTTGTGCTGCAGTTTTTAACACATTGCAGCTAACACTTACTGAGCACTGACCCTGTGTCAGGCGTTGTGCAGAACTGATAATCCTCACAGCCACTCTATGAGATGTGCACTATTAGACTTATTTCTGATGGAGAAACTGAGGCTTAGAGAGGTTAATTCACTTGTAGAAGCTCACACGATTAGTGAGCGAAGGAGCAGAGAGTCAATCTCCACGCTGGCTTTAAAAAAAACACAGATAGAGTCATCTCATTCTCCTACTTTGTAAACATTATTTTTTTTAACCTCACAATATTGGGATTCTCCACCCTGGCTTCATGGTAGAATCATTTGGGGTCTTTTTACAAAATACCATTGCCTAGAATCCACCCACGACTACTTAAAAAGAACAATAATAACAACGCTAATGACAGCCAACATTACATTGGGCTTACTCTGTGCTCAATATAAGTGTTACTATGTGCCAAGGCTTTCTTTAACATATATGGACACACACATGCACACATATATTCTCTCTAATATATATAACACTAACATATACATATATTCAAATGAGGGTGTCTCTCAATATATTCTCATTTAATCCTCAAAATAAACCTTGGATGAAGATACCATTGAGTATCACCAATTTACAAATGGGGAAGGTGAGACTCAGAAGATTTAAAAGCCTAGCTCATATGATTCAAGAGACATGCAAAAAAAAAAAAAAAAAAAAAAAAAGCCTAGCTCACAATTATCTGGCTAGCAACTGGCCAAACTGGGATTCTGATCCCAGGAAGTTTGGCTGTGTACAGAATCTGTACTTGTTGCTGGTAACCTCTGGCAGATGCTAGAGAGCCAACCTACTTAAAAAAAAAAGTCAAAAAGGAAGAGTAAAACATTTGTCCTGTGTTTACATATATAAACTATACCTCAGGTTAACTAGTAGATGAGAAGAATCTCTCTCTTGAACAGAATTTTAGCTAATAAATGAATGAGTGATAGAATTAGAATATTATCATTTTGCAGCCTCTGATGAAATAATAAACCTAGACCATGACCATCAGTGGATGCCAACTTCTCAAAAAAGAGATGTCCAGGCTTTACGTTCTTCCTGATAGAAGCATACATTACCTCTTATGAAGGATTATTTTTTCTTTCTTTCTTTCTTTTTTTTTTTGTGTGTGTGTGAGATGGAGACTTGCTCTGTCACCCAGGCTGGAGTGCAGTGGCGCGATCTTGGTTCACTGCAACCTCCGCCTCCCAGGTGTGAGTGATTCTCCTGCCTCAGCCTCACGAGTAGCTGGGATTGCAGGCACCTGCCATTATGCCCGGCTAATTTTTGTGTTTTCAGTAGAGACGGGGTTTCACCATGTTGGTCAGGCTGGTCTCAAACTCCTAACCTCAAGTAATCCGCCTACCTCAGCCTCCCAAAGTGCTGGAACTACAGGTATGAGCCACCGCTCCTGGAGCTTATGAAGGCTTCTTGCTAGAAAAGTCAAATCTCTTCAAGCTTCTAGAATCAAATTCCATTTTCAGATAACACAAGAGACCAGAGGAACATGTTATATGACACCTGGGGATGTAATCAGCAAAATCCAGACTGGGGAACTCAACAGACAGAAGACTTCATTTCCATCACACATAAATAGAGACAATGAGAGAGAGGACTTATAGATCAAAAGATTCATATAAACTAATTACAATGTATGTGTACATCATATTTGGATTCCGATTTGATAGCATATCTGTTAAAAAAATAAACATTGGGGAAATTTGAACATTCACTGGATGCTTGATGTCATTAAAGTCATTTAAATTTCTTGTTTCTTTGTGTTTTTTGTTTGTTTCTTCATTTGTTTTTAGAGACAGGGTCTCATTCCATTGTCCAGGCTGGAGTGTAGTGACACAATCATAGCTCACTGCAGCCCCAAATTCCTGGGTTCAAGCAATCCTCCCATCTCAGCCTCCTGAGTAGCTGGGACCACAAGCACATACCACCATACCTGGCTAATTTTTAAAAACTTTTTGTCAAGACACAGTCTCACCATCTTGCCCAGGCTGGTCTTAAACTCCTGGGCTCAAATGATCCTCCCACCTCAGCCTCCCAAGTCATTGGGATTACAGGTGTGAGCCACCGTGCCCAGCCTTAATTTCTTTTTGGTGTGAAAATTATATAATAGTTATGTTTTTAAAAAGAGTCTCTACCATTTATAGACATATACTGAAATATTTATGGGTGAAATTGAAAATATATATAGCAATAATTATTATTTAAATAGACATTTAAAGATGTGCAGTTAAAGCACACCTAATTTGACTCCTAGAACTCTGGGGCACTACTCGTGAGTTTCTTCAACCACTTAACTGAGACTGTAATCTCAACATCCTCATTTTATAAAATATGTTGAATTATGTTGCATGTGACAGGTTTGTTGTTGTTGTTGTTGTTGTTTTGAGACAGGGTCTTGCTCTGTTACCCAAGCTGAGTGCAGTGGCATGATCTCGGCTCAGTGCAATCTCCGCCTCCCGGGTTCAAGCAATTCTCCTACCTCAGCCTCCCAAGTAGCTGGGATTACAGGTGCGCACCACCACACCCGGCTAATTTTTGTATTTTTAGTAGAGATGGGGGTTTCACCATGTTCGCCAGGCTGGTCTCGAACCCCTGACCTCAGGTGATCCCCCTGCCTCAGCCTCCCAAAGGGCTAGGATTACAGGCCTGAGCCACTGTGCCTAGCCATGACAGATTTTTAATTAGTGAGTTTTTAAAAAATTAATGGTAGTTCGGGCCTGGCGCAGTAGCCCACGCCTATAATCCCAGCACTTTGGGAGGCCAGGGCAGGAGGATCACTTGAGTTCAGTGGTTTGAGACCTACCTGGCCAACATGGCGCAACCCCATCTCTACTAAAAATACAAAAATTAGCTGGGAGTGGTGGCTGGAGCCTGTAATCCCAGCTACTCGGGAAGCCGAGGCAGGAGGCTGCAGTGAGCCAAGATCGTGTCACTGTACTCCAGCATGGGCAACAGAGTGAGACTCCATCTCAAAAAAAAAAAAAATAAGCTAATGGTAGAAGGAGGCTGAGGCAGAAGAACCACTTGAGCCTGGGAGGCAGAGGTTGAGGTGAGCCGAGACCACGCCACTGCACTCCAGTCTGGGAGATAGAGTGAGAGACCTGGTCTCAAAAAAAAAAAAAAAATTAATGGTAGTGATAACAGATTATTATATGAAATAGAAAGAAACTCTAAATCCCTTTCTATAGCCCCATGATGAAGAGAGTCCTACTCAGAAACAATTGACAAATTCATGCAAACTTCTAGAGGGTTATTGTCACTGCTCATCTCTTCTTGCTTTCATCTTTAGTTGACTTCTCTATTGCATTCCCCATATGGCTTTTCAGAATCTTACCTACTTTTTCTCACCCCTTCATATCTCTTCTAAAGACATGCAACATACAAAATCAACCCAAACTTTCTCATTTTCTCTTCTCTACCCTTCAAAAAGTCTCTGTGACAATGTATTTATTTTTTCCTTCACTTATTTACTCACTCACTCAACACATGTTTATTGAACACTTAACTTTTGTCAGAACTGGACTGGGTGCTGAGGATATGACAGTGGAAAGACAGACTCAGCTCCTTCCCTCTGGAGGCCTGGAGGCCATTAGAACACGTCTCGGAGTCCTCGCCATCCTGTCATTCTTTTCTCCTCTATCTTCCTTTCAAAGACTAGTGGCTCTCACCTTCCCTTGGAACTTGCAAACATTAGTCTAGCTAAGCAAAAAACAAAAACAAAAACAGTTAAATTTGTCTGGGTTCATCATGGTTCTGCCATTTAGTAGTTTTATGACTTTGGGCAAGTTAAGAACCCTGTCTCAACCTATACCCTGATCTGCGAAGAATCATAACACCTAACTCATAGTGCAGTGGGAAGATGAGAGATAAATGTAGTACAAAACTGAATAAAGTGCCTGGCATTTGGTAGCCATTAGATAAATAGTAGCTGTCATTATCATTATCACACCATCAATTTCCCCACCCTCACACATATCTTTAATGTTTCTTTCCCAGTTGTTCTTATCCTCCTTACTATAAGGACAAGGCCACATCACACAAACCTGCCCAAAAGATCTTGGGAGTCACACAGGAAACTCTCTCCTCAGCTCCCAGGTAACCCCAATTTACATCCAAAGAAAGGTGTTTCCTTCCTGAACCATTATCAGAATCGCACCTTTTTTCATCTCTATTTCTCTCTTGAATATGTTTTTCTGTGTCTCTCATTCAAAGGAGATTCTGATGACCAAGGTATATACACAGGAACTCTGGGGGCCTACGGACCTCAAAGAAGAAAACCATATTATATCTGGCTCTCACTGTACTGGTGATCACACTTGTCCCTTTGTGGTTACATTGGTGATAATGATCTGCATATAAAATACAGGGCCTTTAACTTTCTTTTTTCTTTCTTTTTGTTTTGTTTTAGAGACAGGGTCTCCCTGTGTTGCCCAAGCTGGAGTGCAATGGTGCGATCCTAGCTCACTGCAGCCTAGAACTCCTGAGCTCAAGCGACCCTCCTGCCTCAGCCTCCTGAGTAGCTAGGACTACACAGACATACCACCACACTCTGCTGACTTTATTGTGTAGAGATGGAGCAACTTGCTATGTTTTCCAGGCTGGTCTGGGACTCCTGGCCTCAAGCCATCTCCCTGCCTCCACTTCCCGAAGTTCTGGGATCACAAGTGTGAGCCCCTGCACCTGGCTTAACTTTCAAGAAAGTGTTTCTTTCCTCCCTTCCTTCCTTCATTCAGATGGGGTCTCACTCTGTTGCCCAGGCTAGAGTGCAGTGGCACTATTACAGCTCGCTGAAGCCTCAACTCCCCAGGCTCAAGCAATCCTCCCACCTCAGCCTCCTGAGTGAGTAGCTGAGGCTGCACGTGTGTGCCACAACAACCAGCTAATAAGAAAGCGTTTCCAACTGTTTTTTTGTCTTCCACTCATGCCTTGCAGGAGATCCATAGAATTCCTCTTACTAATGTCACTTAAGAGTGAGAAATATAAGTCCCGGAGAGGTTAAACAACTTGCCTAAGAACAGGGAGGATGATAGTAGCAGAAGGAGTTGCTCCATTCTTTCTGGAATCCATTAACCAAAAGAAAATCCATGTTCTTTAATCATGTCACATAACAAGGAGTTTGTTGCCCATAGATAAGAGGGAGAAAGGTGGTAAACATAACAGGACAAATATTTAAAATGGCAGAAGAAAAATTAGGGTTTTAGAAACAAGAAGAAAAGGGCTAAATCGGCATTTTAAAAATAAATGGTCTTAGACTGCTGCACCAAACATGGTTGTCTTCTTTATGAGAGCTATATGATCTGCTTAGAAATTCTCTAAAACTTCATTCATTCCTTCGTCACTGGTTACTCCCATATTGGGTGCCACGCACTGGTGCTCCACAAGGATACAATAAAGAAGGAAGAAAGAGTCCACCACATTCTCAGTGGTTCCCTATCACTGAAATTTCATTATAAATGCAAGTGGCTCTAAGTCAACCTGCAGTGCTTCTGTGTAGGATTGTTATAAATGACCTCAATTCCATCAATTCCATCATGCTTGGGGCTGAAGTACATCCTCGGCAGCAGGGTCCTAATCTGTTTCTCAGTTTGGCTACTTCTTGTCCCAGAATCCTGACCCCATCGTGGTATTCAAATACAACTGAAGAAATATGCCTTTTTTTTTTTTTGAGACAGAGTTTCACTTTTGTTGCTCAGGCTGGAGTGCAATGGCGTGATCTTGGCCACCTGGCTAACATGGTGAAACTCCATTTCTACTAAAAATACAAAAAAATTAGCTGGGCATGGTGGCACGTGCCTGTAATCCCAGCTACTTGGGAGGCTGATGCAGGAGAATCGCTTGAACCTGGGAGGTGGAGGTTGCAGTGAGCTGAGATTGCGCCATCGCACTCCAGCTTGGGCAACAAGAGTGAAACTCTGTCTCAAAAAAACAAAATATATATACTATATATATATATATATATAGACACGAGGTTATAGCTGAGACTTGATGCTTCTGGAGAGCGCAGTGTAGGGACAACCCTCCCCTGGTATATACGTTGAGCCCCTGAGTTATATAGAATCTGAGGCGCTCCTAGGGAGAAAAAATCTGAACCACATACATCTGAGGGGACTAGACATGTATGCTTGTGTTCAAATCATGCCAGGTGGTTCCAAAGCAGCCAGATTACAGGAAGAATGATGGGGATGACCATGGAAGAATTCTGCACGAGGGAGGAAGGTCTTGCCTTGGGAGCTAGGGATGACAGTGGTTTCAGGAATCATAAGGAAACAACTGGAAGTCAATCTTACTGACACTGAAGTACAGCAGGCCTTTACTTCCAACAGCAACATCATATGGTAGGATTCCAACTGCATGAGCAGACATTAATTTTGGTTAAAGCATCTGGCCATTGAGAATAATATTCTAGCTCAATGGCACCACTGTAGTCCTGTTAGGTGAGACAGAGTGCAGTTGGGAAGTAAGCAATAAGCAGGGCTGATCCATGGACACATGTGGGATCAACTGGCGAGTCCCAGAAATTGCTAAGGAGGGAAGCATTGTCTCACCAGCTCAGTCCACACACCCCTACCTTTAGGCCTTCTCTGTTACTATAGCATATTTAAAAAATCATAAATCCAGTTCCGAAAGAATTGATGAATAATGTTAAAGTCTCTGAAGGAGGGAGCCACAATAAATGGCACTCTTCTTGCTCACTTGCATCCTGAACAAGTTGAAGAAATAAAACAAAGGTAGAGCAAATGGGGATCACCTTTGTTACCGGCAGAGGCCAGGCTAGAAGACTAGGTTTTAGGTCTGGTGGTCAAGTGGGCTAAAATCAGACAGACTTGCCCATAGTCAGGCATTTGCTAGGCTAGAGCAGGCCTGCCCAGGCAAGACTTGCAATACAGAGAGATACTGTGCATTCTTGGAATGCCCACTCCTAATAGGAAGCAGCAAAGCTGACCCAACATGCTCAGCGATTCTTCCAAAATTACCATCCAATTACTCACTCCAGAGCCCTAGGGGTGGGATGAATAAAAGGGCTAAGGGAAACAAAACATGTGCTTGGAGAACTCCCTCGTTATAGAAACCAGGAGAGGAAAAAAGGTACGTCTCCTCTGTATTGATCAGGGTCCCATCAGGTTATTAAATAGAAGATATTAAATACGAAGAATTAATTATAAAGGTGTTAGAGGAGCTAAAATAGTCACTAGGGTAGATGAGGCATCCCAAAGATTAGCAAGTGGGAAGCCACCACCCACCCTTAAGACTGGAGAGACAAAGGAAGGATCTGGGGGTCCCTTGATAGACACTAGCATTATAACAGAAATATTCAGGCAAGAGCTGGAGCCACAGAGGAGGGCAGCTACTGCCAGATATGCCTCCCATGGCAGAAAAAGAGGACAAGAAATACTTTGGCTTCCCCTTTCCTCCCAACCTCCAATCTCCAACAGTACCTCTCGCTGGTTAAGTGAGGCTAAAACAGGTGGTCAAGAGAGCCTGGGTATCATAGCTTGCAACAGTCAGACATACAGAGCAGACACAAAGGATGGATCTGGAGGCAAACAGTCAAATAACCAGCACAACATTTAACCAGGCAGAGTTTTGTTGCAATTTTGTTTGTAGACGAAAGAGAAATTTACATATCATACACCCAAACCTTTCTAAATGTCTCATCACCACTTTTTGAAATTTCTCTCCTGCAGCAGCTGCTATGTCGTTTTGTTTGTTTGTTTTATTTTTTTGCGATGGAGTTTCACTCTTGTCGCCCAAGCTGGAGTGCAATGGCGCAATCTTGGCTCACTGCAACCTCTTCCTGTCTCAGCCTCCCAAGTAGCTGGGTTTACAGGCGCCCGCCGCCACGCCCAGCTAGTTTTTTTGTATTTTTAGTAGATACGGGGTTTCACCATGTTGGCCAGGCTGGTCTCGGACTGCTGATCTCAGGTGATCCACCTGCCTTGGCCTCGCAAAGTGCTGGGATTACAGTCATGAGCTACCGTGCCTGGCCAGCAGCTGCTATGTCTTGCTCCATCTTTCTTCCCCACCTCAGCTCTGTCTCCATTCCACTGGCTCTCTTCTGCTCCCACCATTCTCTGAATCCCCTCAACAAAAGCCTTGTCCAAAAGCCTGGGGAACTACAGTTTACTCCCTCCTCACCCTCTCTATCAACAATGACTCTCCTAGGGACTCCCTCGGTGACCACTCAGAGCTTTGAGATTAGGTAAACAGTGTTAATATGACCAACTTGGAACTTGCAGCTTAGTCAAGCCTGAGACAGTCAAGTTACCCAGATAAGGATAGACCATGCACCTACTTAAAATAACAGCATCAACAGGAGTTCTTCTGCTTCCCTTCCTGTTTCAAATTATAGCAATTGACCACTTAGTTACATTGGTTAATGCCCAAGACAAAAATGCAGCCCATCTCTTCCCCACCTGGCCTGCATATATGTTCATTTTGCATTTAGCAGAACTGAAAGGACTTCTTTCTGTTTTATTTTCTTGTAACCACAGAATTTAAATATCTACTGTTTTGTTTGTGGGCTCACAAAGAGGGTGAAAATCATTGCTATTTTATTTCAAACAAAATAAAAGATTACAGTCTTCCAATTAGAATAGGACTTAAAACATAGTAAGAATTTAAAAGCCATGTGCTGATTCATGGGAAAACATTAAGACACAGATGGGTTACACGATTTACTCAAGGTCATACCACTGAAGCAATGACTTTATTATCAGAACTATAAAGAACAACACAAATATTTACATGATTAATATTTTGTTGATAGTAATGGGGCTAGAATTAGAATATGGATTTTACGCTGCTCCAATCCCTGTCTGCTAACTCTGTTAGACTGTGTTTCCTACACACTGGAATTGCAGGATAGTTGCTGGATGTTCAGGCTGTGTGGTCGTGTAGGCATGGGTACAAATCCCAGCTCTGCCACCTGTTAGCTACGTGACCTTGGACCAGCCCCTTAACATCCCTTAGTTTTGTTTTTGGATCTAAAAAATGGGGTATGTACCTTCCGCACTAAGAGGGATAAGGGTTCAGTGAGATGATGTATGTTGTTGGGGAGGAAAAATTTTTCCTCTACTCTCTTCTTTTGCTGGGGGCGTGCAAATTAACCTAACAAAAGACAGACTAACAAAAGAGCAGACACAAAATTTTTATTAATATTTACATGCACAGGAGTTCACAAAAAAGGAGTGAAACTCAAAGAAGTGGTTAGACTCTGGTGATGGGTTGTTCTTCCCTTACTGGCACAGAGGAAACACCTTCACAAAGGCAAATTTGTGCCCTGCTTTTAGTCAGATAAGGGGAGAGGAAAGAACTCTTTCTGCATCTGTTGATTCTCAATTGCTTCCAGCTGAAAATAATCCTTACACTAAAGTGGCATATTTTGGGGTGGCATATTCTGATCCCCTTCCATGTAAAGTGCCTCAGCACCAGGTCTGATTAAAGTTAAGTGCTAAATAGCCCACTATCATTAGAAAAGTCTGTGTCCCCACCTTGTAGTAATAAAGCTCAGACACAACAGGATGTCATAGGAAGGGAATGAGGCATGTTTTTCTTTTCTCCAGTTTTTCTGCCTGGGCTTCCCTGCAAGTAAGATTATCTACATTTAAAACATATTTGATCGGCCAGGCGCGGTGGCTCACGCCTGTAATCCCAGCACTTTGGGAGGCCCAGGCGGGCAGATCACGAGGTCAGGAGATCGAGAACATCCTGGCTAACACAGTGAAACCCCATTTCTACTAAAAATACAAAAACAAAATTAGCCAAGCGTGGTGGCGGGTGCCTGTAATCCCAGCTACTCGGGAGGCTGAGGAGGGAGAATGGCGTGAACCCGGGAGGCAGAGCTTGCAATGAGCCAAGATCACGCACTGCACTCCAGCCTGGGCGACAGAGCGAGACTCCGTCTCAAACAAACAAACAAACAAAACAAAACATATTTGATTCACCTTAAATGGCTACTCATATCTGTCCTTTCCTCTGCAATGCTCTGCCTTGATCCTGGTCCAGGTTTATCTGGCATAGACTGCCCTCTGTCCAGCTCCTGTCTACCCCTCCTGGATCACAAACCAGAGAAAATGCAGAATCTTTCATGGGCTCCCTACTGCCTTCAGTGTGAAGCTCAAGTGCAAAGCCCAGCACCATCTATTCTGTACCTAACTTCTTAGTCTGAATCTCTTCACCTCTTTTCCCCAACCCCGAACTAATGGCTACCACTGACTCAGGGGAGCCTTCTCCTGCCTTCATGCCTTTGAATGGGGGGTATCGCTGCATGAAGCTCCTCTCTCCCCTTTACCCACTCAAGAGTCACTTACTCTTGGTAATATTTCTCAGTTGCCCTGCTTCACCCCTATTCTCTCATCCTGGCCAAGTTAGATGCCCTTCTGAGTCCCCTCTTCTCTACAGAATTTTAATTGTGCATTTTCTTCTTTGTCTCTGCCTTTAAGTTATGAACACTTTGAAGAAAGGACCATATTTAGTTCATCTCAGAATCCCAGTGCCCAGCACAGACCTGGCATAGGGTAGGCACTCCTTAAATACTTACTGAATGAATTATGCCATTTAGTCTGTCTGTGGTGGCACTGGAAACCCACAAGAATTTAACAGCCTCGTCTCTGTCTGAAGTTCAGGGCTTCTGTAAAGAATACGTGATGGAAAGAGGAGGTGACTAATAGTGATTCTGCAAAAATATGTAGGTAAAAGGAATGGCTGTAAATTAATGATGAAATAACCTTCCTAAGTTTCCTTGTGGAAGATATATGTTAATTCCCCAAATGTATGAGCATCTGTGTATTTTTGTGGGGAATATACAGTGTCTTTTCTAACACTGAGATGCTTGAAATGGGGTTATTTCCCTTCCAAATGAAAACCAATTAAATAAATTATATTTTTTCTGTGGTGCTTACAAAGTGTGGGAGTTGTCACCAAACATTACTAAATGTTCTAATTTAGTCATAAAAGGGCTGAAAGATGTAGCATAATTATAAGTCCAAAGTAAGTTGTTCTAAATATTTTATCATGTTCAGCATATGCTGTTAAAAAAAACCTCAGACTATAATTGTCAACATTCGATTCACAAAAAGTAAACAACAGCTGAGTATAATGGGATGATAAAGAATCTCTCCATAATTCCCGACATATGGCAAAGAGTATGTCCATTTTGAAGTGGAAGATGGTCATGTTTATCAACTGAGCCATTTTCTTTGTTTGAATCCTTCTAATCAGAAAAGTTCCCTAGAAACACTAGGAGCATTTTCCTGAGCAGATGAGGGAAATGAAAAAAAGCTGTATGGCACAGTTAGATCTCAGGCAGGAGGAATTTAGAACTCACAATGGCAATTGAAAGAGGCTGGGTAAAGAAGGCCATATATTTCTGTAAAAGCAGTCATTCCAGGGTTAGTATACATGAAAAACAAGTGCGTGCTTCGTGGGGAATGTATGGAGAAATTTCTACGTATCAGTCGTTTCTGTGAACAAGCTCTGATGGACCCAGCCAGTGTCACATCCTGCCATCATGTAGATTCATTTTAAATGCACGGACACTTAATCGTTTCTAGGGAAAGCCAGTGGGAAGCTGCTTGAAATTTCTTTTTCTTTATAAGATGTTTTGCACATGGGGGCTTTCAGCTCAAAGGAGATACTTACAAACCATTTATCTTCAGAGTGAAGCAGTAGAAGTGGGAGAGGCATCCAGGCACTGTTCTAACCAGATACTTCAAAGCTGCCCAGAAGAGAAAGGCAAAGGCAATTGCCAAAGAACAGGCTCTGCTCTTTGGCTGGCAGAGATAAGGAGCAGATACCCAGCACTGAGACAGAGGATTCTGTGAAGAAAATGCTGAGTAACAAGATTGTCCTTTTGTTTTTCTTCATGAATAATAACCGTCCACCCTAAATCCTTTTGGGAATGAACAGGGGGCTTTGGGAGCTGGTATTGAATGAATAAATTAGCAAATCATTGAACTAATTAATTAATTAATAACCACACCTAGGCAGAGAGAAATAAACAAGAGTGCTCACTGAGAACTCTCTGAGGAGGAAAGGACCTCTATATGGTCCAATGTAGTGAAAAATCTAGCAATTTGGAGATAGGACTGCTTTCTGAGCTTCAGTTTCCTGGGAGTGTTGTGAATATGTTTTGCAACTCCAAAATGCCATCAAACGTACATCATTCTGCTTGTCTTCTTGATGAGCTGTTTTTAAACATAATAGCGTTAGAATTAATCAGATTAATCTCACTGAACAAAAATAAAGGCTGCTTTTTCACAGAGCTCTTCATGGTGCCAGCCAGTGTATCTTTCTGTGCACAGTGATTCTTTCTATATAGAGACTCTCTGTTAAGCTCAAAAGGAGCTCCAAGGAGAAGCCCCATAAAGACAGCACAATCAACAGGTACACATGCTGCTGTTATTCAAGGCTACTCAAAAGAACATAAAACAATTCTGAGAAAAAAAGAGACTTCAGGGAAAAACTCAAGGTTCAGTGTATGACTTCTTGGTGGAAAAGATGGCATCACTGTTGCCTGAGACACAGCAAGATAAGAGTGAGGATTCTGGAGGGAAAACATCCCTAATAATGAGAGGAGAGCCTAGGTGGCTGAGCTGTTTGATTGACATCTCTGTCTGTCGAAAGCCATAACATACTCAGGCTGTCCTCGAGGAGCTGAGAAAAGTGGGGAAGAGAGTGTAAGACTGATCTGCCCTCTGGAATCGCTTTAGACAGGCCGGAGTCACAGGAAGCATGCCAAACCTAGGACAGTACAGGAATGATTGCCAAAGGAAACAGAACAGGTCTTTTTTCAAAGAAAAGAAAAGAACAATAGCAGCCGAAGTAGAAGGAAAAGCCTCAGTGTGCCAGCAGGTAGACATTCTGACCTCTCTTATTATAAAACACACAATAATTTCTTAAATGTTTAATGATGATGGAAGAAAATTGTGTCTTAAAATGAAATGAAGTTGGAGAAAGTAGTATGTCTGGGTCCCCACTCCAAGTCCTTTAATCATGAGAAGTAACTGCATTTCATTATAATGTGCACTATGATGCCACCTGATTCGTGGTGTGGATCCTAAAGGATGATTCTAGTCATTCTCTTTCTTAAACAATTTTTGGTAATTTTGATTCTTTCTCTTTATGATGTTCCTTTTCATCCATTATCTTCTCTTATGGTACTTACCTAATGATTAAATGTTGAGTTAGGAGACGGTAATTAGATTCCATCTCCCATTTTCCTGGTTTAACTTGACCTTTTTCTTGATGAGATATTTTCTTCCATTGGGTATTGGCATTTCGATGCCCCCTAGGCAAGCTATTTTGGATTTCTCCTTGCTGCAGAACTTGAAGGGTTTCAATGTGAAAAATAAGTCTATCTTTTTTTTTTTTTTTTTTTTTTTTTTTTTGAGACGCAGTTTCGCTCTTGCTGTCCAGGCTGGAGTGCAATGGTGTGATCTCGGCTCACCGCAACCTCTGCCTCCTGGGTTCAAGCAATTCTCCTGCCTCAGCCTCCCTAGTAGCTGGGATTATAGGCATGCATCACCACGCCCAGCTAATTTTGTATTTTTAGTAGAGATGGAGTTTCTCCATGTTGGTCAGGCTGGTCTCGAAGTCCCAATCTCAGGTGAACTGCCTGCCTCGGCCTCCCAAAGTTCCGGGATTATAGGCGTGAGCCACCACACCCAGCCTGTCATTTCGTTTTTTAAACCAACAACATTTAAATGGGTTCTGGCCAACTTTCTAGGCAAAGGTACGGAAATATATTGTATATCACATCACAGATGACAAGTGCTTCCAAAGAATATAAATGCTATTTTAGGCTTAGGTTTCTACATTGTCTAAGTTTCCATTACTTAAAGGAGAGACTTTCTTGCAGAAGGTATATTACTTCATACACAAGTTGGGATTTATACTGACTTTCCTAACATATGTATCTGGGAGAAACATTTGTGTGCAGTAGAAATGAAACCAGTCTAATTTTCCCATAGAACTGATGTTTTCAGTCTTTTAAAATAAACATAGAAATTGACCCTCCTGGTCTTAAAGCTTGAAACTTACAATCTGAGTTCCTTTCTCAGGAAATCATCATCAGGCCTTCTCAGATAGTATCAAGGAACTGAAACTCACCAGATCACTGCATCCAGACAATGAGATGCCAGATCCCTCACCCATCATGATTCCCAAACTGACTGCGTGCTTCCTATTGACCATCACCTCTTCCTTACTCCTCCCTGATTTCTGTTTTCCTGCTCATAGTTACATTCCTTCCCTGATATATAAATCCCCAACTTTAGTCAGTTGGAGAGACGGATTTGAGACTTATTTCCCATCTCCCTGGCTCACGTCACCTAAATAAAACCTTTCTTCCCTGGCAATACTCATTGTATCAGTGATTGGCTTTCTGTGTAGCGAGCAATGGGACATAGACTATACCCCTGACATTTTGGTGGCAGAAAGAGTTAATTACTAATCAAGTTTTCTCATTGATTTTTGATAATTTTTTTTAATTTTGTTTTTTGTTTTTCGTTTTTTTTTGAGATGGAGTCTCACTCTGTTGCCTAGTACGATCTCAGTTCACTGTAACCTCTGCTTCCTGGGTTAAAGCAATTCTTCTGCCTCAGCCTCCCTGAGTAGCTGGGATTATAGATGCCCACTACCATGCCTGGCTAATTTTTGTATTTTTAGTGGGGATAGGGTTTCACCATATTGGATAGGCTGGTCTCGAACACTTGAGCTCAAGTGATCCACCCTCCTCAACCTCCCAAAGTGCTAGGATTACAGGCAGGATACAGAGTTCTTGATGGTGTAGTTTGTATTTTTCCAAGGTAGATCTTAAACTGGCAACATAATTACACTTACTCTTGTCTTTTAGGCTAAAAAATAATTGTCAGTACTTGTGGAATGTCAATATTTCTGTGTTGCTTAATTAGATCATAGAGAATGCTCAGTTTCCTGGAGCATGTTTTCTTTTTGTTTGGTTTGTTTTGAGAGAAGGAGATTAGCAGGGTACAGAAAGCCAATTCTCTGAGATTACTGGAAAATAAAGCATTTACATAAATAGTTCCAGAAAGATTTATATGGATCTATTTTCAAAAATTATAGTCTGTAGACTTGCAGGTAAAAAAGCTCCAAGCAGGGAAAATAGGCAGAATTAGTTTCTCAGGAAGAACATGTGTTTGGATGCCTCTTAAATTTATGATTTTAGGATAATCTAATACCACTATAATTATACTACTACTATATATTTTTCTACATGATACTCCGGTTTAGCTCAGCAAGAGTTACAGATGTTTGCTAATTCCTGAAGCATCTGAAACAGGTATTAAGTCATTCACCTACCGATATTTAATGAGCCCTGTCTAGGAGCAAGACATTATGGCAATACGCAGGAGACTTTTTTTTTTTTTTGGAGACAGAGTCTAATTGTGTCACTTAGGCTTAAGTGCAGTGATGCAGTCTCGGCTTACTGCAACCTCCACCTCCATCTCCTGAGTAGCTGGGACTATAGGTGTGCATGACAATGCCCAGCTAATTTTTGTATTTTTAGTAGACACAGGGTTTCGTCAGGCTGCCCAGGCTGGTCACAAACTCCTGGGCTCAAGTGACCCCACCAGCCTCGGCCTCCCAAAGTGCTGGAATTATAGGCGTGAGCCACCATACCCGGCCTGCAAGAGACTTTTAGATGAAATCCTAGTTAATCCTAGTTAAGATCTGGTTAATAGAGTTAAGCACTACCACACAATGTTTACTACATTGTTCAAATATACAACACACATTTGCAAATCTTAAATAAATGAAACCGGAAATAAACTTACTGTGGGTCACTGTGTACCTCAATTTCGTTGTGTGTAATGCTGTGATCCTTCTATCTTTATAGTACCTTTACACACAATGGTGACTCAATAAATGTTTGTTGATGGCAGGCTGAATGAGTGTAGATATGAAGAAAGTAATCCCCACCACCACCCTGCCCTGAAAAACTGATTGCATTATGGTGCTTCTAATTAACTTTTGGTAGATACTAAATGAAAGGGGACCGAACTCTGACCCAAAGTTCATGTTTACAGCTTTGAACAGATTGAGTTTCACTCTTGAAGTGTGTGAACACAAAACAGCAGAACCCAGTGAGACAGGAAGCAGACAATTTTAACCATAGCTACTGCCACTGGAGGGGTGGGGTAGTTTGGGCTTTATTGTGCAAGACAGGAAGTATCCAGAGAGAAGAAGGAAAGGTATGAACTTGTATTGAGTGTTAAGTCTGTGTCAGGCATCAGGCCAGCAGCTTATATAAACCATTGTTGGATCACTCTGCCATTCTGAACTGGAGCCATTTAAAGATAAAAAGGACGACTCTTAGAAGTGTTATAGTTAGATAACTTGCCCAAAAAGTCTCACAGCTCACATTTGGCAGGTTCTGGATTGAAACTCAGACCAGTCTGCTTTGAAGGCCACAGCTTTCCCACTCTGCTCAGCTGTTTCCATTCTGCCTTTTGTAGTAAGAGGACTGACCATTTGAATTAGGTTCTCTTGGTTTTAAGAATAAGACTTAGGTCACCTCAAGTAATGAAGAATGTGCTATGTCCATTCCTTTAGAAAAGAGGAGCCAGTGATCTCAGGCTCATGACAAAGTCTCAGGAAACCCAGGAAAAGCAGAACCACCAGCTTTCAGAAAGGGTAGGAATGTTGTCAGAGCCAGGTCTCAAGGCGACGAATGAGAAAGTTGTTTAGATGCCAAGACAATTCTGGGAGTGCGAGTGTGGGATCTTCTGGGTCTTCTGGAAGGCCACTCACCATTAACATGACCCACTGACCCTCTGCAAGTTTGTTTTTTGGGGCATCTCTGGTTCTCTTTCATCATTGACTGGCTTTCCCACCTTTTTCTCACAATCTTTCTCTTAACGCCTATCCGCCCCTTGATTGTGCTCCCTCTCTACTTTAAGTGACTTATGACCCCTCATGGTCTCCACTCTTCTTCAAGGCTTCTTTCTTTTGCAGTATCTCAACAACTCTCAGTATATACTGCTCCATTTTCTCAGTGTTTCTTAATTCTAGTTCCTGAGAATTAGACTGCTGAAGCCAGCTTTACCTTGTTTGGAAAGGCTTTTCATGCTGGAATATCTCATGGGCTTCTAACAAGCCTAGAGGTCTGGGCTGCCCTGAGTTAGGGGTCCAGCCAGGTTTAGTCACCCCAGGAAAGTTGTGGGTGCACCTAGTTCCTTTAGAAGTGGCTAGGGACTGGGAAGGCACAGTGACTGACATACTGGTAGTGATGGATGAGAATGAAAATTGATCTCCCATAAACATCAGGTCAGCAGCAGAAAGGGGAGGTCACAAAATGGTAGTGGCACAAGCTGGCACTGCATAGAGTGGGAGGAAGATGGCACTAGGAAGAAATGCAAATATTTTTAGTCAAGAATTGGGAGTGACTGGGGAAGGAGCTACAGACCATGAGTCATCCATGAGTCATTCCTTCATAAGAATATGAAGGTTTCTTCACCAGAGACCTCTAGGAATGCTTCCTGTCTCTCCTTTTGTTGTTTCATTAAAATGTGTGCAATCTTACTGAGAATTGGGATTTTTCTCTTATTTCCAGCCTTGATATAGAATTGAGAACGTGACATTAATTATTTTTGTCTCTCAACTAAACTTATTTTTTAAAGATATTTTAATTATATAAATAACATACAAATATATTCTCACTATGAAAAATTCAAATAGTAGAGATAAGTCAAAGTCTACCTTGACTCTGTTTCCCAAAGCCTACCTCTTCTT
Organism: Homo sapiens; assembly: GCF_000001405.40. NCBI lineage: Eukaryota > Metazoa > Chordata > Mammalia > Primates > Hominidae > Homo > Homo sapiens. The sequence continues at coordinate 47,278,596 of NC_000012.12, forward strand.
CCCCAGAGGGTAGTCTATGTATATACAAGGTTCTATTGTATTTTTTATATAAGTAAACGGCCGTATTCAATACTTTGCAATCTAGAACCACTTCAACCAAAGTAGGTGGGTAAGGATTTTCACATCTCAGAAATACCAGCAACCAATTTCCACCCACAGATCCTGAATGCCAATAAAGGCTAGCCAGTTTAAGCAGCAGATTCCAGGTAAGTCGAAAGCCAAAGGGATCATTTGGTCAAAGTAAAGTACAAAGAGGCACAAGGATGATAATGGCCACTTATCTCTGAGTAAAGACAGACAGTCTGTGGCTTGACTCCTACCTGGTTTGGTGCTGTGAACTCTATCCATTTGCCTGAATTGGACCAGTGTAGTTGTCCAGTTCCACTGATGAAAATGGGAGTTCTCTTACTACAAACAACTGTAAAAAGTCCCAGAAGATGACAATGGGTAAGGGAGGACCTAAGCAGACAAAGGAGAGCTTATTCAACACTCCTCCCTCCCCACAAAATTGTTCTTTCCATTCCAGCCTCATCATCTAAAGCTCTTCAGAAAGGCTTGAATCAGAAATTCAATTCTGCATAAAGTCCTCATCAATTTATAATTTTAAAACTTTATGAATTTGAAATAATTAGGGAAAAATTTCTGATTTTAAAAATTCTATTTCCTAAAGTACAGTGTCATTGCTAATTGTATATGGCAACTTGAATTAGTCTAATTGGGGTTATTAGATCTTTTCAAGGGATTGGCAATCAAGGCATCAATTAGTAGTATTTATATGTGAGGCCATGTTTTTAATCTGCTAAAACCTATTTGCTTAATCCAAAATCATTCAAGCACTGATTAAACTTGGATTATAAACCATATATGAGGCCAGGATTCTGCTATTCTATTCCAACATCCCTCCTCTGTCCCCCCACACATGCACTGAGAACATTAACTATATCTCATACATGTATATCTCATACACTTAGTATATCTTATATAATTGCAATAAGTGCATATTGGCTATTGAAAACATATACACAACAAAGCCTTGGAGATGCAGGGGCAGAAAAGACAGGCAAATACTTGCCTATGTCACAGAACTAACATTGGGGTGCTGGTAGAGACAAAGAAATAGCACGTAAACAGGCTGGGTGTGGTGGCTCATGCCTGTAATTCCAGCACTTTGGGAAGCCAAGGCGGGAGGATCACTTGAGGTCAGGAGTTCGAGACCAGCCTGGCCAACATAGCAAAACTCTGTCTCTACTAAAAATACAAAAATTAGCCAAGCGTGGTGGCACATACCTGTAATCCCAGTTACTCAGGAGGCTGAGGCATGAGAATCACTTGAGATCGGGAGGCGGAGTTTGCAGTGAGCTGAGATTGCGTCACTGCACTCCAGCCTGGGTGACAGAGCGAGACTCTCTCTCAAAAAGAAGAAAGAAAGAAATGAAATAACATGTAAACAAATAAAAATTGTTCAGATAGTTATCAATGGGTGAAAAAAATAAAACCAGGTAAAGAGAGAGAATGACTGAGGGTGGGTGTCCAGTATTTTAGCTATGGTGCGCTGGGAAGTCCTATCTCAGGGGCACATTTAATACATGTGAATGTTGAAAAAGAACCAGCCAGGCTAAGATCTATAGTGAGTTGGATAAACTCACTTCTTTTTTTTAGAGGCTCTTTTTTTCTTTTCTTTTTTTTTTTTTTTTTTTGAGACGGAGTCTCACTCTGTTGCCCAGGCTGGAGTGCAGTGGCACAATCTTGGTTCACTGCAAACTCCGCCTCTCAGGTTCAAGCAATTCTCCTGCCTCAGCCTCCCAAGTATCTGGGACTACAGGACGTGCCACCATGCCTGACTAATTTTTATTTTTAGTAGAGACAGGGTTTCACCATGTTGTTCTCAGGCTGGTCTCGAACTCCTGACCTCAGGTGATTCACTCACTTTGGCCTCCCAAAGTGCTGGGATTACAGGCGTGAGCCACCATGCCCGGCCTGAACCTCTCTTCTTATGGTGATCACGAGAGCAGCATTTCCAGTAAGAGAAGGGAAAGCTGTGTCTGATCTTGGGAGGAAGTTGGGTAGGATTTAGGGTGGGAGAATGAAGAAGGAAGGGCAGAGACCAGACTAAAGGATTGTGTAGAGTGGGACAGAGGTGAGGCAAGCGAAGGGAGTTATGCACAAAACTTGCAGAGCCACTCCCTCTCAGGGCCATGCCTGCACAGGGCTGGTGCCCAAGTGTGAATTCTTCCCAAGTGTTTTGCCCTACTTACCTCACCTATTCCTGGCTTTGGGGATTGGCGTGAGGTAGCATGGTCAGAGGATAGCAAGGAGACCCTCTCTGCTAAGGAGAAAAGTAGGCCTGACATCCAGGAGCTGGCCTGGTACTATCAGTAGCCCTCAGTGTTGCCCTGAGCTGGCCTGGAACCAACAGCTAGACTTTGGTGTTCTCTGTGGAAGGGAAACAATTCACAGAACATCAATATCAGACAAGGCCACACCGTGACTACGATGGATCAAGATAAAGGCAAGACCACTTGGCATTCCTGCCTGAACCTGACAAAACATGAGCCTTGTCCAAGCCACAAAATACTAAACATCCTCCCTCTCAGCTAATATGAATGGTAGTTGCTTATTTACTAATTGCAGCTTTAGCTTCCCTCTAGTCTGCCCTCCCTATAAATAACATACTGATCATAGAATTACCCCAGCTTCCTAATAGTAGTCAATGCAGAGCAAAGCCTGGCTTCCTTGGACTCTCCCTCAAATCCTTTTTAGACCCAAAATAGTGGCCCAGCACTGTGGGAGGCCGAGGAGAGTGGATCGCTTCAGCCCAGGAGTTTGAGACCATCCTGGGCAACATGGTGAAACCCCATCTCTACAAAAAATACAAAAATTAGCTGGGTGTGGTGGTATGTACCTTGTAATCTCAGCTACTTGGGAGGCTGAGGTGGGAGGATCACTTGAACCTGGGAGGGCAAGGCTGCAGTGAGCCACGATTGTGCCACTGCACTCCACCCTGGGCAACAGAGCAAGACCCTGTCTCAAAAAAAAATCTTTTTTTTTTTAACACCCTTTTGCTGAGACACCCCAGGGCTCCCCATGGTGTGTGCTTGCCCTGGCTGTGAGTAGTAAACTCAACCTATACAGTGTGTTCCTGGTGGCCTCCAGCTGGAGAGCATTACCACAGGTGAGAATTCATCCTGGCAATGGGTGGAGAGAAATGAGGTTGGGTGGTAAGACTGAGTCAGTTTATGAGCTTGAGCGAATCATCTAAAAGTTACACTGAGGCCATGGAAGGAAACGTGTTGTCAGCTGTCTAGGAGCAAAAACTGACCAGGAGGAGAATTACAGTATTGAAAAATGGTTCTGGCAGTGTTCACAGTTAATGTGTCCATGGGGTGGGTGCCCTGGACTCTTGGCTGCTTTTTTACAGATGAAAAAACTGAAGTAGCAGCTCAGTGACTGCCAAGATCTGCATATTGACTAAGATAAGGCTTCTGAGACTCTCGTTTCTAATGTAGTAGTAGCTCCTAGTCAACCTCCTCCCCCTCCCGCCCTAACCACATGTTGTATTACTAGAAAAATAAAGCCATTTATTGGCTTAAAAATCATTAAATATGAAAATTCCCATGAGAAATTTAATAAATAAAATGATTCGCTCTCTACTTTTGAATTGAATTTTATCATCCATTAAATAAGCAGAGAATGTAGTGTCTTTGCTAAGTTTTCAGTGCTCAGTCTTGTTTTCCCAGGAACATGAACTCCTCTATCCTTCACTATTCCCCAGAGCTCCCACAGAAAGCTCCATGACTCAACACAATTCCTGTTGCATTTCTGCACACAGCTGCCCACCGCAGGCACTGTTGAAACTCCAAGATGTGCAGTGGAAGGACTGGCTAAGAAAACCCGACCCTGATGGAAACGCCTTCCAATGAGTAGAACTGATTCACATTGGATCACTGGACTTTGGGTTGGGATGTCCAAAAGAAGGACTGATTTCAAAGTAAAATAAATGTTCCAAGACTAGGTCACAAAGAAAAGCTTCTCAGCCTTGAAGAAGACAAGGCATAGGCCCGCGTCCCAGGCTCTGAGAGAGAAACGTCTCATTTCCTTTGCTTGCAAGTCTGTGTGCCATCTCTCAACTTCTGCCCTTGGGTTATCTGTCTGTGTATTTTCTTCACCCTTCTAGATTGCCAGCTCCCTGAATGGAGATCACATTGTTGCCTTTGCATTCACCACAATGTTAGTCCAGTGCCTGCCACTAACCAGGTCTTCCCTGCTTATTAATTGACCAACAGACTTTGTATTGAAAACACACTGAAAAAGCATTTCAAAAATAGTTGACTTTCTCTGACGGGAGTTTTGCTAACTGGGAAGGTGATGTAGGGTAACTTCTCAGCAGGGTGTAAATTTTGAGTGCTAGGGAAAGAGCAGCATGATTGGAAGAGAGGCACATTTCACTAGGATACACTCTGTTATCTTTGTTTTACATTTAAATGGGTCTACATGAAATTTGGATGACACATTAAGGGTAATTTCCCCAGCGTGATTTGGATTGCTGATTAGAGAATCAAGGCCTCCTGGAGTATTCTGTTTGTGTTACTGATTGGTTAAGGGCTGTTTCCCAAGTGTGGGGTGAGTTCCGTTTTCCCCTGGAGAATTAAAGAGCAGCACCCTTCAGGCACAGCCAAAGTGAACTCTCTTCAAAAAGTCTAAGCCTGGCCAGGCGTGGTGGCTCATGCCTGTAATCTCAGCATGTTGGGAGTCCGAGGCAGGCAGACCACCTGAGGTTAGGAGTTCGAGACCAGCCTGGCTAACATGGTGAAACCCCATCTGTACTGAAAATACAAAAATTAGCCAGGTGTGGTGGCGGGTGCCTGTAATCCCAGCTACTCGGGAGGTTGAGGCAGGAGAATCACTTGAACCTGGGAAGCAGAGGTTGCAGTGAGCCAAGATTGCACCACTGCACTCCAGCCCGGGCGACACAGTGAGACTCAGTCTCAAAAAACAACAAAAAAGCCTCTGAGCTGAAGCCCTTTTCTCTTTCTAATTATGCAGGAAGCAAAGAAATGTTACTATGTGGTGAAGAATTAACCTTCTTCAAAATAAGCCCGCCTTTTGTCCTTGGCTTCTGGAACGTAATCTCTACTGTCTTTCTTAGCCCGAGGGATGGGGGTCACAGTGGATTGTCAGTGCAATTTAAGGTGGGGACTGGCCACTCCCATGTAGCCATAGGGTTGGAGCTGAAAGACCAACAATGTGACTTTGGGTGGAGGCTTTGGGTCACCCAGTATCGGTGGCCTGGAGACTAAGATCAACCATGTGGCCAGTCAATCATTTATGCCCACGAAATGGAGCTCCAACAAAAACTGAACCCTGAGGCTTAGGTGAGCTCTCTTGGTTGGTGATTCTCTCTTGGTTGCTGTATTGTCACACATGGATGCCACCGTGTATCCTTACTTTGTGGGGAAAAGACAACAGGAGCTCTGCATTTGGAACCCTTCTGGACTCTGCCCTATGTGTCTCTTTTTGGCTAAGCTTAACCTGTAACCTTTCCTTATAATAAACCATAAATGTGACTATAACAGCTTTTGGTGAGTCCCATGTTTCTAGGGAATACCAAATCAAAGAGTGATTTTGGGAACCCTCTAAAATTGCAGTTGTCCTGCATTTATGGACAGAACCAATATACATCTTACTTGTATTGATTAATGTCCTATGTCTCCTTGAAATGTATAAAACCAAGCTATAACCCAGCCACTTTGAGCACATGTTCTCAGGATCTCCTGAGGGCTGTGTCATGGGCCATTGGTCACTTATATGTGGCTCAGAATAAATCTCTTCAACTATTTTATGAAGTTTCACTCTTTTCATCAACACCCAAAAGAAAATACATTGTTCTATCAAAAAGATACATGCATGCATATGTTCATTGCAGCACTATTCACAATAACAAAGACATGGAATCAACCTAGGTGCCCATCAACAGTGGACTGAATAAAGAAAATGTGGTACACGTATACCATTGAATACTATGCAGCCACAAAAAGAACAAAATTATATTCTTTTGTTGCAGCTGGAGGCCATTATCCTAAGCAAATTAACACAGAAACAGAAAACCAAATACTACATGTTCTATAAGTAGGAGCTAAACATTAAGTACTCATGGGCATAAAGATGGCAGCAATACACACTAGGGACTACTAGAGGGGGTGGAGATGGAAGTGGGAAAGCTTGAGAAACTATTGGATAATATGCTTACTACCTGGGTTCTGGGATCAACAGCACCCCAAAAGCCTTAGCATTATGCAACAAATCTGTACATGTACCCTCTGAATCTAAAATAAAGGTTGAAATTGTATTTAAAAAGTCCATGTGGAAAGTTTAGATTAATACATCTATCTTAAACTTTTAAAACTTGGCAGAATATCTCAAAATTTTGTCTGTGCTTGTATCGAGCAAATATACGGGAAGTATCAGGGAAAGGGAAGGAATGGTAGGGATGGTCGTAACACACACAGCGTATTATATAGCTGCAATAATTAAATCAACAAGGGGCAAGTGCAAGCCTAGTCACATAGATGGAGCAGACAGCTCAGAAACAGATCACAGAATTTGTTCTAGGAAAAAGGAGGCATCACACATCAAAGGGGGAGAAACCTTACTCAATAAATGGTGCTGGGATAAATGGTAAATTATTTGAGGGAAAAATATTTAGATCCTTACCTTATGCTCTACACCAAAATAAGTTCTACATAAATGAATTTAATTCAACTTATGGAAAACCTTGCTTCCTCATTCACTGAGAAAACTGAAGCAATTTTCAAACACCCACCACCCTCTCTACTTAGCAAACAGCGTTTATGCCCCTACATTCTGCCTTCCTTCTCATTATTTTAGACAAACTGTTTTTGCTCCTAAGGCCAATTCCTTCATATCATCCCTCAAGCACCTCTGCGCAATAGAAGCAGAACATGAGTCACAAATGGAGCCTTACATTTTCTAGTACCCAGCGGTGGCTCACTCCTGTAATCTTAGCACTTTGGGAGGCCAAGGTGGGCAGATGCTTGAGCCAGGAGTTCAAGGCCAGCATAGGCAACATGGTGAAACTTCTTGTCTCTCCAAAAAAAAAAAAAAAAAAAAATTTAGCCAAGCATGGAAGCGCCTGCCTGTACTCCCAACTACTCTGGAGGCTGAGTTGGGAGGATCAGGTGGGAGGAAAGCTTGATCCCAGGAGGCAGAGGTTGCAGTGAGCCGAGATAGTGCCACTGCACCACAGCCTGGGTGAAAAAGTGAGACTCTGCCTCAAAAAAGAAAAAAAAAAAAAATTCGACTGGGCACAGTGGCTCATACCTGTAATGCCAGCACTTTAGGAGGCCAAGGAGGGCAGATCACCTGAGGTCAGGAGTTCAAGACCAGCCTGGCCAACATGGTGAAACCCTGTCTCTACTAAAAATACAAAACTTAGCTGGGCGTGGTGGTGCAAAAGTAGCTGTAATCCCAGCTACTTGGGGAGGCTGAGGCACAAGAATCAGTTGAACCTGGGAGGTGGAGGTTGCAGTGAGCTGAGATTGCACCACTGCACTCCAGCCTGGGTGACAGAGTGGATTCTGTCTTTAAAAAAAAAAAAAAAGATTAAAAAAATAATAATTCTAGTATCCATATTAAAAAAGGTAAAAAGAAACAGGTAAAAATAATTTTAATATCTTTTGTTTAACTCAACGTATCAAAAATATTATCATTTCAACATGTAATTAACAAAAATTATTCATAAGATATTTTACACACTTTTTTTCCTCATACTTTTTTAAATCTGGTCTGTGTTTTATACTTGCAGCACGTCTCAATTTGGACTCACCACATTTCAAGGCTTAGAACCCATACGTGGTTCCTCACTTCCATATTGGACAGCACAGCCCCAGATCCTATGCCTTCTTTCCTACATGGGACATCACTTATTTCCTGTACCTTCTACAGGGATCAATTTTCACCTCTCTCCTAACTCAGTCCCTTTTTCAAAAAAATATGCTGTTATTTTTTCCACTTTAAAATCACCCTCTCTTGACTCCACTAATTCCTCCAGAAACTCTAGTTTGCTCTTTTTTAAAGCAAAATCATATTGTTTTGCCACAGTCACTGTTTACAATTCCTTTCTTCATGGGGCAGGAGAATAGGGAATTAGGCTAACCAACGGTTAAGGAATAATCAAAAGAACAGCAGGTGCAGCCAGTTCTAGGCAAGATTAAGCAGCACAAAGGGCACATTTTCACTCCTGTGATAACAAGACAGAAGTTTTCACTTCAGCCTTTGATTGGTCATGGACTAATCCTTCATAGCGTGTATCCAATTGAAGGCCTCTAAAGGGCACCTAGGGGTGTTACCAAAGTCTTTTAACTTAATAAGAACCCTAAAGAACATTGTAATTGGGGCTCTTGAACTGCCTGCTTGAGCCCACTCCCATTCTGTGAAGTGTACTTTCGCTTCAATAAATCTGCGCTTTTGTTGCTTCTTTTGTTGCTTCATTATTTAATTGCTTTATTTGTGCATTTTGTCTAAAAAGACTTTTTTCATTTGACTTCTAGGATATCATGTCTTGTGCTTTATCCTCCTGCCTCATTGGTGACTTTTCTTACTGGTTCCTCCTCATCTTCCCAGACTCTTTTTTTTTTTTTTTTTTTTTTTTTTTAAGATGGAGTCTCTATCTGTCACCCAGGCTGGAGTGCAATGGCGAGATCTCGGCTTACTGCAATCTCTGTCTCTCAGGTTCACGCCATTCTCCTGCCTCGGCCTCCTGAGTAGCTGGGACTACAGGCACCCGCCAGCATGCCCGGCTAATTTTTGTGTATTTTTAGTACAGACAGGGTTTCACCGTGTTAGCCAGGATGGCCTCGATCTCCTGACCTCGTGATTCGCCCACCTCGGCCTCCCAAAGTGCTGGGATTACAGGCGCGAGCCACCGTGCCCGGCCCTTCCCAAAATCTTAATACAGAGGGCTCCAGGGTTCAGTTCTTGGTTCTCTTCCCTTCCCTATTCCTCTTCTTCCAAATTTTAAAAATTTGCTTGAGATTTAATTTCATGGCTTTAAATACTATTTATAAGGTTCCAATTCACAAATTTATATCTCCAATCCAGCCAGAACTTTTGCCCAAACCTCACCCTCATATTTTCAATTGTTTACTTATGTCAGTTTCCTAGGGCCACCATAACAAATTACCACAAACTTGGTGGCTTAAAACAGAGATTTGCTCTTTTACAGTGCAGAAGTCCAGAAATCCAAAAATCAGGGTGTCATCAGGGCTGGTTATTTACAGAGGCTCTGAGAGAGAAGCTATCCCATACCTCCCCTCTAGTTTCTGGTGGTTGCTAGCAATCTTTGGCATTGCTTGATTAGAGAACTCATGACTCCAATTTCTGCCTTCATCCTTACATGGAGTTCTCCCCTGTGTGTCTCTGTGGATTCACATAGTCTTCTTATAAGGACACAAATGGGCTGAGCGCAGTGGCTCATGCCTGTATTCCCAGCACTTTGGGAGGCCAAGGCAGGTGGATCACCTGAGGTCAGGAGTTCAAGACCAGCCTGACCAACATGGTGAAACCCCATCCATACTAAAAATACGAAAAATTAGCTGGTGTGGTGGCGGACGCCTGTAATCCCAGGTACTTGGGAGGCTGAGGCAGGAGAATCGCTTGAACCCAGGAAGCAGAGGTTGCAGTGAGCCTAGATCGCGCCACTGTACTCCAGCCTGGTCGACAAGAGCAAAACTCTGTCTCAAAAAAAAAAAGACAAATCATTGGATTTAGGGACTAATCTGGTATGACTTCTTATTTTAACCTATTACATCTGCAAAGACCTAAGTGGATATGAATTTTGGGACAACACTATTTAACTTAGTACACTACTCAACATTGTATTTAACTGTCAAATAGGCATCTCAACTTAACAGGTCAAAAACTGATCTAATCTAATTCATCTCCTCTGTACTCATTTTCTTCTTCATTTCAGTATTTAGCTGATGACAACTCCATCCTTCCATCAGGAAATTCTGTTGTCTCTCCCTTCAACATATACGTGAAATCTGACCACTTCCCACCACCTCCACAGTTGCACAGTGGTACCCACCATCATATCTCACATGGATTATTGTAATAGCCTCTTAACAGGTCACTCTACCCTTGTTTTCCTACATTCTACTTTCTTTTCTCTTCTTTTCTTTTTTTTTTTTTTTTTAAGACAAGGTGTTGCTCTGTTGCCCAGGCTGGACTGCAGTGGTACAATCTTAGTTCACCGCAGCCTGGAACTCCAGGGCTCAAGTGATCCTCCTGCCTCAGCCTCCTGAATAGCTAGGGCTACAGGCACTTGCCACCGGGCCTGGCCAATTTTAAAAATAGTTTTGTAGAGATGAGGACTCGCTATGTCTCTACAAAATCCCTGGCCTCGAATTCCTGGCCTCAAGCTATCCTCCTGCCCTGGCCTCCCAAGGTGCTGGAATTACTGGTGTAAGCCACCTTGCCCACCTTGCCCAACGCTACATTGTATCTTCAAAAGAGTAGCCAGAGTGATCCTGTCAAAATCTGAGTGACATAATTGAGCACTCCAATGGCTCTCATTTTACTCAGAGTGAATGTCAGACTCCTTACAATGTAATACAAAAGACCTGTCTTATCTTTCTGACCACATCTCTGATTACTCTCCCCTTTGTTGACTCTGCTCCAGACATAGGGGGGATTCCATGCTTTTTCTTGAACATTCCAAAGATACTCTCCGTACTCAAAGGCTTTGCACATATTGTTCCCTTTTCCTAGAATGCTCTTCCCCAAAGTAATTATGTGGCTTACTCTCTCATCTCCTTTAAACCTTCTTCAAATGCCATCTCCTCAAATTAGGTAAATGAGGTTGACTCTTGCCCCCTTTTTTTTTATATAGTGAACCCCATATTGGAGCACCACTTTGTTCATAATTGCAACAAGCCACCACCTCTCCGCTCCTGTCCTGGCACTGGTGATGTCCATAACCCTGCACTAGTTTTTTTTGGGGGGGGTTGTTTCTTTTGAGATGGACTCTCATTCTGTCTCCCCAGGCTGGGGTGCAGTGGCTCAATCTCAGCTCACTGCAACCTCTGCCCGCTGGGTTCAAGCGATCCTCACACTTCAACCTCCCAAGTAGCTGGAACCACAGGCATGCACTTCCATACCAGGCTAATTTTTGTATTTTTCTGTAGAGACGGGGTTTTGCCATGTTGCCCAAACTGGTCTCGAACTCCTGGACTCAAGCGATTCACACACTTCAGCCCCCCAAAGTGCTAGGATTACAGGCATGAGCCACTGTGCCCAGCCCCCCTGTGCTAGATTTTGCACATAGCCCTTATTACCTTTTAATATATGATATAATATAGGTGTGAGTATTATGTTTTTTGTCTCTTTCCTCTTGAAGTAAGTTCCGCAAAGGCAGGATATTTTGTCTGTTTTGTTTTCTGATATGTACCTAGAACAGTGTCTGCACATAGTAGATGTTCTCTCTCTATATATACATATATACACACACACTCTCTCTCTATATATATATAGTCTCTATATATTTACAATGTATATATATTTTTAAATGTATATATACACACACGTTTTAAATATATAAACACGGAGAGAGTATATATGTGTATATATATATATAGAGAGAGAGAGAGTGTATCTACGCACACACACACATACACACTTTTTTTCTTTTAAGAGACAGCATCTTGCTCTGTTGCCCAGTCTGGAGTGCAGTGGCATGATCATGGTTCACTGCAGCCTTAACCTCCTGGGCTCAAGCAGTCCTCCCATTTCAGCCTCCTGAATAGCTAGGACTACAGGCATGTGCCACAATGCTTAGCTAATTTTTAAATGTTTTGTAGAGACAGGGTCTTGCTATAATAGCCCAGGCTCATCTTCAACTCCTGGCCTCAAGTGATCCTCCTGCCTCAGCCCCCCAAAGTAGATGCTTAATATTCATTAAGTAAATGAATGAGATTAATTCAATGAATGAGATGTGTATGGGGAACTACTTTCTAGGCATAGAAAAGATTTTTTTAAAAATCACAAAGAAGGGAATTGTAGATTTATTTATTTTATTTTTCATTTTTTGAGACAGAGTCTGGCTCTGTTGCCCAGGCTGGAGTGCAGTGGTGCGATCTCGGCTCACTGCAAGCTCTGCCTTCGGGTTCAGGCCATTCTTCTGCTGCAGCCTCCCGAGTAGCTGGGACTACAGGCGCCCGCCACCACGCCCGGCTAATTTTTTTATATTTTTAGTAGAGACGGGGTTTCACCGTGTTAGCCAGGATGGTCTTGATCTCCTGACCTCGTGATCCGCCCGCCTCGGCCTCCCAAAGTGCTGGGATTACAGGCGTGAGCCACTGCGCTGGGCTGGGAATTGTAGATTTTTAAAAAGTGGAACCCAATTTATTGCAGGCTTAAAAATTTTTGTGGGTACATAGTAGGTGTATTTACCTTTAACATTTATGGGTTCCATGAGATATTTTGACACAGGCATGCAATGCAATGTGTAATAGTCGCATCAGGGTAAATGGGAGTATCCATCACCTCAAGCATTTATACTTTGTGTTACAAACAATCCAATTACACTCTTAGTTATTTTAAAGTGTACGATTAAATTATTTTTGGCTGCAGTCACTCTGTTGTGCTAGCAAATACTAGGTCTTATTCATTCTGTCTATGTTTTTGTACCCATATAACCCTCCCCACTTCCCCCAAATTCTGGATTTTACTACATACAAATTTAAAACTTGAGCATGCATAACAAAACACAAAGATAGTCTGCTATAGTATATATTTTAGAAAGCCCTCAACTCTCCCCCGAAATAAGGTCTTTTTAAAAATTTAAAATGAACAAATATTTATAAAACTCAAATTTTAAGTCATTTTTCCAACTGTGAAAGAAAAAAGTGTTTTTATGAGCACTTCTGCTGAAGTCTACCTACATGGTTTTGTATTTTCTGCATAGAACCAATGTAAATTAGGATTAATTATAGGATTTTTTGCCACTCTTAGTTTGTTATCCATCCTTGCCTTTCAAAATTTCTATTAGCCCCTTAATACAAATTTTTGTTTTAAGCACTGTTTTAAGCAAGTCAAACCTTAAAACTTAGGAAAGAGAATTTGAGCCATCACTGGAATTTAAAATACGTTTTTTAAATGCACATGGAATTATCTTAATGATATTAAATGGCTTTGCTATAAATAATCTTCTAAGGAACTTACATAAAAAGCTTTTAGGTAATTAAAGCCAATTTTTGACACTTTTTCTTTAATCAGAAAGGGTTTTGATTGAAGCAGAAAACAGACTGAGCTTCCTGACTGGGATTGTATGTTCAGTGTCCTGTAGCCCCACTCAGCCAGTCAGCATCACTTTCTAGCCTGCCCGTCACTGTGCAGACGAGGAAACTGAGACTCCTCTTCCATGCTGAGTAGCTAAATCATGATCTTGATTTGAATAAAATGAAAGCTCTTGAGGGCAATTCATTACTTCAACTCTTTACTAATTGTGTTAATATTAAAAATATAGTGGCTGGGCGCAGTGGCTGACGCCTGTAATCCCAGCACTTTGGGAAGCTGAGGTGGGCAGATCACAAGGTCAGGAGATCGAGACCATCCTGGCTAACAAAGTGAAAACCCATCTCTACTAAAAATGCAAAAAAATTAGCCGGGCATGGTGGCAAGCGCCTGTAGTCCTAGCTACTTGGGAGGCTGAGGCAGGAGAATCGCTTGAACCGGGGAGGTGGAGGTTGCAGTGAGCCGAGATTGCACCACTGCACTCCAGCCTGGGCAACAGAGAGAGACTCTGTCTCAAAAAAAAGAAAGAAAGAAAAAAAAAATATATATATATATATACGCATATATGAATGTTAAGAGGAATAAGGTGCTAAATTATTCTTCCTAATAAAACTAACATTAAACGTTTTTTAAAAATTCACTTTTCTTCAACTTTTTTTGAGAAATACAATCAAATACAGAAAAATGCATAAAATAAATGTACAACTTAACAAATTGTGATATGGGCACCTACAAAGCCACCATTAGGTTAAGAAATAAGTTATTTTTAACACCCCAGAGGTCCTCCCTTCCTTACCTTTCCTAGAGGTAACAGCTATCCCGGCTTGGATAATAATCAACTGTTGTTTTGCTTTAGAGTTTTGCCACCTAAATATGCACTCCTAAAGAACATGCTGGTTGGCCGGGCGCGGTGGCTCATGCCTGTAATCCCAACACTTTGGGAGGCCGAGGCAGGCGGATCACGAGATCAGGAGATCGAGACCGTCCTGGCTAACATGGTGAAACCTCGTCGCTACTAAAAATAAAAAATAAAAATAAATTAGCCCGGCGCCAGTAGTCCCAGCTACTCAGGAGGTTGAGGCAGGAGAATGGCGTGAACCTGGGAGGTGGAGCTTTCAGTTACGCTCCAGTCTGGGCGACAAGGCAAAACTCCGTCTCAAAAAAAAAAAAAAAAAAAAAAAAAAGAATATGTTTGTCTTAGTCATGACCTTAGGGAAAAAAATTCAGTATTTTCCACCAAATTTCCTGAGTCTTAAAATCGCAGGTGGCTGATGGTGGTACTTAGCCTCTGTAATTGCATGAGCCAATTTCTCATAATAAATATAAACTTACTATTAAGGGAGGAGACCACCCCTCATATTGTCTTATGCCCAGTTTCTGCCTCCAAAGAAAGAAGTAAAAGCTAAAAGGCAGAAATGAAATCCACAAGCAGACAGCCCGGCGCCACACCCTGGGCCTGGTAGTTAAAGATCGATCCCTGACCTAATCAGTTATGTTATCTATAGATTATAGACATTGTATAGAAAAGCACTGTGAAAATCCCTGTCCCGTTCTGTTCCGTTCTAATTACCGGCGCATGCAGCCCCCAGTCACGTACCCCCTGCTTGCTCAATCAACCACGATCCTCTCACGCGGACCCCCTTAGAGGTGTGAGCCCTTAAAAGGGACAGGAATTGCTCACTCTGGGAGCTCAGTTGTTGGAAACCTGAGTCTCGCGGAAGCGGAAGCTCCCGGCCAAATAAAGCCCTTCCTTTAACTCAGTGTCTAAGGGGTTTTGTCTGCGGCTTGTCCTGCTACACTATATTTGTATTATATATTATTTATGACAATTTATATATATGAGAATTTATGTTATAATTTCATCTTGAGTAAGTTTTGGTAGTCTGTGATCTTCAAAGAATTGTTCCTTTTTATTTAAATGACTGCATACATGTACACAGAGCCATTCGGGTATTTCCTTACTATCCTTTTAATGTCTGTGACGCCTGTAATGATCTTCTTTCTTTCATTCTTGTCACTGGTAATGTGTGTCTTCTCTCTTTCTCCTTCACTGTCTTTTGGTCAATATTGGTATCATGAGGCCAGCAGTTTGAAACCAGCCTGGCCAACATGGTGAAACCCCGCCTCTACTAAAAATACAAAAAATTAGCTGGGTGTAGTGGCGGGCGCCTGTAATCCCAGCTACTCAGGAGGCTGAGGGAGGAGAATCACTTCAGCTTGGGAGGCAGAGGTTGCGATCAGCCGAGACTGCGCCACTGCACTCCAGCCTGGGTGACAGAGTGAGACTCTGTCTCAAAAAAATAATAAATAAATAAATAAATAAATAAATAAATAAATAAATTTATTTATTTTGTTGATGTTTCCAAAGAGACAGCTTTATGGTTTTTTTTTTTCCTGTTTCAATTTTATTGATTTCTTCTTTCGTCTTCATTATTTCCTTTCTTTCACTTGCTTTGGGTTTATCTTGCTCTTTTTGTGTTTAGTTTCTTAGGTGGAAGCTTAAATCACTGATTTAAGACCTTTTTTTTTTTCAGTGACAACCACTGTTAACATGATGGCTTGTTCCATTTACTCAGTGTGTGTACATGCATGTTTGCATGTAAATCTTTTATTTTATAAAATTGAGATCATAAAAATATTCTGGGTTTTTGCTTTTTAAACAATTTCTTTAAAAAAAATTTTTTTTTAATTTTTGGATTCAAGGGGTGCATGTGCAGGTTTGTTACATGTTTACATGATGCTGAGGTTTGGGGTACCAATAGTCCCATCCCTCAGGTACTGAGTATAGGGCCCAATAGGTAGTTTTTTAAGCCCATTCCTCCCTCCTTTCCCCTGCTAAAAATCCCAGTGTCTACTGTCCATGTGTATTGAATGTTCAGCTCCTACTTATAACTGAGAACATGAGGTATTTGGTTTTCTATTCCTACATTATTAATTTGCTTAGGATAATGGCCTCCAGCTGCAACCATGTTGCTGCAAAGGACATGATTTTGTTCTTTTTAATGGCCACATTCTTTTTGAATGTAAGCATTTAATGACACAATTTCACTCTAAGCACTGCTTGACCTGCATCCCACCATTGTTTCCTTTTAAATAGTCTTTATTTTTGAGTCTCACAAATTTTAATGTTATATATGTTTCTTTGTTCCATTTAAGATCTTTTCTAATTTTCCTCAAGATTTTCTTTTGACTCATGGGCTACTTAGAAGTGTTTTTATGTCCAAGTGTTTGAAGATTTTCCTGTTATCTATTTCTAGTTCTGTTCCACTGTGGTCATAGAACATACTTTTTGTGATTTCAATTCTTTTAAAGTTGTTAAGGTTTGTTTTATTACCTAGGATATGGTCTATCTTGTTTATTGTTCCATATGCAGTTGAAAAAAATGTAATAAGGCGGAGTATATTGATTGAATTATGAATATTGAGCCAGCTTTGGATTCCTGAGATAAAATTCACTTGGTCATGAAGTATTATTCTTAGCATTGTGAACACCCCAAACTTGAGACAGGTCTCAGTTAATTTAGAAAGTTTATTTTGCCAAGGTTGAGGATATGTGCCCATGACACAGCCTGAGGAAGTCCTGACGAACATGTGTCCAAGGTGGACAGGGTACAGCTTGGTTTTACACGTTTTAGGGAGACAGGAAACATCAGTCAATATATGTAAGAAGTACACTGGTTCCCTCCAGAAAGTCAGGGACAACTCAAAGCAGGGAGGGGGCTTCCAGGTCACAGGTAGGTGAGACACAAATGGTTGCATTATTTTGAGTTTCTGATAAGCTTTCTGAAGGAGGCAATCAGGATATGCATCTATCTCAGTGAGCAAAGGGATGACCTTGAATAGAATGGGAGGCAGGTTTGCCCTGAGCAGTTTCCAGCTTGAATTTCCCTTTTAGCTTAGTGATTTTGGGGGCCCAAGATATTTTCCCCTCACAATATCTTTTGCTGAATTCTATTTGTTGATTTTACTAATATTTGTTGTTGGGTAGTTTCCATAAATGTCAAATATATTCAGTTTGTTGGTAATGTTGTTTAGCTCTTCCATATTTTTGCTAATTTTCTCTATACTGTGAAAGAAACATTTAAGTCTCTAAATGTAACTGTGTATTTATATATTTGTCCTTTCAGTTCTTTCCATTTTTGCTTAATGTATTTTGAAACTCTTGTTAGGTGCATACACATTTAAGATTATGTCTTCTTGGTGAATTGATCCTTTTATCATTATGTAATATTCTTATTTATTATTTGTAATATTTTGCTCAGAAGTTTGCTTTGTCTGATATTAATATATCCACACCAGCTTTCTTTTTTTTCTTCCAGCTTTCTTTTGATTAATATTTTCATGGTATATGTCAGGCCTCTGAGCCCAAGCTAAGCCATCATATCCCCTGTGACCTGCACGTATACATCTAGATGGCCTGAAGTAACTGAAGAATCACAAAAGAAGTGAAAATGGCCTGTTCCTACCTTAACTGATGACATTACCTTGTGAAATTCCTTCTCCTGGCTCATCCTGGATCAAAAGCTCCCCCACTGAGCACCTTGTGACCCCCACCCCTGCCAGCCAGAGAACAACCCCCTTGGACTGTAATTTTCCACTACCTACCCAAATCCTATAAAACGGCCCCACCCCTATCTCCCTTCACTGACTCTCTTTTCGGACTCAGCCCGCCTGTACCCAGGTAAAATAAACAGCCTTGTTGCTCACACAAAGCCTATTTGGTGGTCTCTTCACAGGGACGCGAGTGAAAGTATATCTTTTCCCATCCTTTTACTTTTAGCCTACCTATGGCATTATGTTTGAAGTGAGTTTTTTGTAGACAGTATACAGTTTATGGTTATTCATATATTCTGGAAATCTCTGTCTTTTAATTGGTATGTTTAGACAGAGGTCAGCAAGCTACAGCTATAAGCCATATCCAGCCCATTACCTCTTTTTGTAAATAAGGTTTTATTGGATCACAGCTGCACTCATCCACTTATGCATTATAGCCAATGGCTGCTTTTGTGCTACAGTGGCAGAGTTGAATGGTTGTAAAAGCCTGTATACTCACAAAGCCTAATTTACTCTTTAGCCTTTTACAGAAGAAATTTGCCAAGCCTTTGTTTAGACCATTTACATTTAATGTAACTATAGATACATTTTGGTTTAGGGCTAGCATTTAATTTATTTACTGTTCATTCCCTCTGTTTTTGAGTCTTTCTTCTCTTCTGCCTTCTCTTGGGTTGTTTGAACATTTTATAATATTCCATTTAAATTTATCTACCATTTTTTTTCTACATTTCTTTGTATAGCTTTTAAAGCAGCTGTCCTAGGGCTTACATATAAATAACTAACTTTCAACAGTTTTTTTATTTTTTAAAATTTTATTTATTTATTTATTATTATTTTTTGAGACAGGGTTTCTCTCTGTCACTCAAGCTGGAGTGCAGCGGCGCGATCTCGGCTCACTGCAACCTCTGCCTCCCAAGTTGAAGTGATTCTCCTGCCTCAGCCTCCTGAGTAGCTGGGATTACAGGCACCCGCCACTACACCCAGCTAATTTTTTGTATTTTTAGTAGAGGCGGGGTTTCACCATGTTGGCCAGGCTGGTTTCAAACTGCTGGCCTCATGATTCACCTGCCTCAGCCTCCCAAAATGCTGGGATTACGGCGTGAGTCATCGTGCCTGACCTTATTTATTTATTTTTGAGACAGAGTCTCACTCTGTCACCCAGGCTGGAGCACAAGTGATGTGATCTTGACTCACTGCAACCTCCGCCTCTCAGGTTCAAGCAATTCTCCTGCCTCAGCCTCCCAAGTAGCTGAGATTACAGGCAAGCACCACCACACCCAGCTAACTGTTGTATTTTTAGTAGAGACAGGGTTTTACCATGTTGGCCAGGCTGATCTCAAACTCCTGACCTCAAGTGATCCACCTGCCTTGGCCTCCCAAAGTGCTGGGATTACAGACATGAGCCACTGCACCCAGCCTCAACAGTCTTTTTAAAATTATATTTTACCACTTCATGTAGAATGTAGAAATTTCATCACCTTATTTTTTTATGTTCCCTTTTCGTGTTGTAGCTGTTTTATGAAATATATCTATATATGCTTAAGACCAATTAGATTTTTTTAAATCTTTGCTTTCAACTATCAAACATATTTTAAAGAACTCAAGTCTATTATATTTACCCAGATATTTACCATTTATGTTACTCTTGTTTTTAGTCCTGATGTTCTAAACTTTTTTCAGGTGTCATTTCCTTCCTGTATTTCAGAGTAGGTCTGCCAGCCATAAATTCTTAGTTTTCTTTCATCTGAGAATGTCTTTATTTCATCTTCATTTCCAGAGACTATTTTCTCTATATATAGAATTCTAGGTAATTTATTTTTAATTCAACATTTAAAAAATGTTCTACCACTTCCTTTTGGCTTCTATGGCTTCAGATAAAAAATGTGTTATTCAAGTTATTGTTTCTCTGTAAATCATGTATCATTTTTCTATGTCCATTTTCAAGCCTTTTTTTATTGTCTTTAATTTTTAGCCATTTGATATGCTGTGTCTGAGCATAGATTTCTTTGGATTTATCTTGTTTCAGATTCACTGAGCTTCCTGCATCTGTAGGTTTACATCTTTTGCCAAATTTGGAGAGTTTTCAGCCATTAATTCTTCAAATTTTTTTACACTATACTCTTTCTCCTCTTTTCCTGAAACACCAATGATATAAATGTAGGCCTTTTAGTATTGGCTCTGAGGACAATGAAGTCCCTAGTCTCTGTTCTTTTGTTTGTTTGTTTCTTTCCTTTTTTTTCTCTGTTGTTCAGATAGAATAATTCTATTGATCCAATTTCAAATGTATTTGACTCTTTCCTCTTTCATCTCTGTTCTGTTAAGTCCATTCACTGCAACTTTTTCCCCAGCTATTGTATTTTTTCAGTTCTATAATTTCCATTTGGTTATTAAAAATATCTTCTAGTCCTTTGGTGAGATTTTCTACTGTTCTATTCATTTCAATAGTATTTTCCTTTACTTCTTAGAGCATTTAAAAATATCTGCTTTAAAGTTTTTGTCAGAAAATTTCAACATCTGTGTCATCTTGGCTTTGACATCTGTTGACTGTTTTCTCCCATGTGAGTCGAGATTTTCCTAGTTCTTCATATGCTAAGTAATTTTGGATTTTATGCTGGAAATTTTGAGTGTTGGCTATGGGACTATGGGTCTTCTTAAAATCTTATGGATAATGCTGATATTTTGTTTTAGCAGAAAAATTGACTTGAATGGGTTAAGGTTGCATGTTTTGTTGGTTATAGTTTCAGAGTCAGTTCTCTTTCCAAACCCTTTGCTGTGTTATTCAGATATGTCCTGTGTATGCACTGTTTAGTGGCCTCTCTGGGACCTGGATAGTGGTATCTCACTTAGTTCCATTCCCAAGGACTGACATGATGCTTAGAATCAGATCCATGTTCAGGAGTGAACCTAGGAGTTCATAAGGAATTTTTATGGGGTTATGTTCTAAACCTCCTGTCTCTATGTCATCTCTCTGTTACTTTTAAGTTCCCTGGGCTTCACTCTTTCCGTCTTTAGGTCAGAAACCTGGAACTTCAGTTACTCCTGTCTTCTGTGTACTTCTCATAACTGCACCTGCGTTTGGTGCAGATGGGAGGGTAGTGGTAAGGGAGAAAAAGGGAAAAACAACAGGGGTTTGTCTCCTTCTCTTGAGATCTTAGCTCCTTCAACTGAAGGAAAAGTTTCCCCTTCTTCAGAGTTTTAGGCCCCTCTCCCCATCACTGCTGCAGCATTGCTGGGGGACTGGGAAGAAAAACAAAAAGAAAGAGAGAAGAAGAAGAGGAGGAAGAGGAAGAGGAGGAGGAAGAAGATGAAGAGGAGGAAGGAAGAAAGAAGGAGGAAAAGGAGGGAGGAGAAAGGAAGAGGAAAGAAAAACAAAACACAGAGATTTCCCCTTCTCTCTGAGCATTAGAAATTCTTATTCTTGCTGTTTAAGCAGAGCTAAAAGTCTTCTTGCACTCTTTCTGTTTATGCCCTTCCAGGCTTATTTGAGTTCAAGGGATATCGGGGTTAAATGGGAAACTTATTGCTTATTTAGTGGCCCTTTGAATTCTTGTCTTTTCAGATCCTCCTGCCAGTGTTTACTTTTCAGTTATCACATACCTACATCATGCATTCTGTCTAGGTTTTACAGCTGCATTTAGTGAAGACACAGGATGGAGTATGCTCATTTCATCTTACCCAGAACCAGAATAAAATATTTTTATTTAAAAAGTACAAAATCAGGCCAGGTGTGGTGGCTCACACCTGTATCCCAGCACTTGGGAGGCCAAGGCAGGTGGATCACCTGAGGTCAGGAGTTCCAAGGCCAGCCTAGCCCAATATGGTGAAATCTCATCTCTACTAAAAAAAAAAAAAGTACAAAAATTAGCCAGGTGTGGTGGCAGGTATCTGTAATCCCTGCTACTGGGGAGGCTGAGGCAGGAGAATCACTTGAACCCTGGGGGCAGAGGTTACAGTAAGCAGAGGTCATGCTGCTGCACTCCAGCCTGGGCAAGAGAGTGAGACTGTCTAGAAAAAAAAGTACAAAATTAGAAAATTTATTTAATCAAAAAATAGATGAGAAAGAATGTTGGAAATTCACTACCCTAGAACCATTGTGAACTTTTTTTTTTTTTTTAAAGAAATGGGGTCTTACTATATATTGCCCAGGCTGGACTTAAACTCCTGGGGGCTCAAGTGATCCTCTCAATTCAGCCTCTTGAGTAGCTGAGACTACAGGTGTGTGCCACCACACCCAGATCCACTGTAGACATTTGGCATCTACAACCTGACAGATATTTTCTATGAAAATATATTGATTTTGGCCAGGCCCAGTGGCTCACGCCTGTAATCCCAGCACTTCAGGAGGCCGAGGTGGGTGGATCACGAGGTCACGAGATCGAGACCATCCTGGCTAACATGGTGAAACCCCTGTCTCTACTAAAAATACAAAAATTAGCCGGGTGTGGTGGCGGGCACCTGTATTCCCAGCTACTCGGGAGGCTGAGGCAGGAAAATGGCATGAACCCAGGAGGTGGAGCTTGCAGTGAGCCGAGATTGTGCCACTGCACTCCAGCCTGGGTGACAGAGCGAGACTCCGTCTCAAAAAAAAGAATTAAATTACATTTAAAAATAATAATATATTGATTTTACTACATAAAAATGGAATTGGTATGGTTTTGTGGTAAAAGCATGAATTCTACCTAGTTTGGATTTCATCTCTACTATTTACAACTTGTATGATTTTAGGCAAACTACTAATTCTCTCTCTTTTTTTGAGACGGAGTTTCACTCTTGTCCAGGCTGGAGTGCAACGGTTTGATCTCAGCTCACCACAACCTCCACCTCCTGGCTTCAAGTCATTCTCCTGCCTCAGCTTCCCGAGTAGCTGGGATTACAGGCATGAGCCACAACGCCTGGCTAATTTTGTATTTTTAGTAGAGACAGGGTTTTTCCATGTTTGTCCGACTGGTCTCAAACTTCCGACCTCAGGTGATCTGCCCGCCTCGGCCTCCCAAAGTGCTGGGATTAAAAGCGTGAGCCACCTCGCCCGGCCAGGAGTTGTATTATTACTCAAAGCAGTCTCCCAGAGCTTTCGAAGATCAGAGTTTTTAAACATAATTTGGTGGGTGGGGGCTTGGGAAGTGGGGAGTGCTGATTGGTCAGGTTGAAGATGGAATCATGGGGGTCGAAGTGAGTTTTTCTTTCCGTCTTCTGTTCCTGGGTGGGATGGTAGAACTAGCTGAGCCAGATTACTAGTCTGGGTGGTGTCAGCTGATCCATCAAGTGCAAAGTCTGCAAAATATCTTAAGCACTAAGCTTAGGTTTTACAATAGTGATATTATCTTTAGCAGCAATTTGAGAAGGTTCAGACTTCTGGAGTCAGAGGCTTCATGAACCCTAAACCATAATTTCTAATTTTGTAGCTAATTTGTTAGTCCTGCAAAGGCAGACTGGTTCCCAGGCAAGAAGGGGGTCTTTTGGGGAAAGGCTCTTATCAATTTTGTTTCAGAGTCAAACCATGAGGTGAATTCCTTCCCAATTTTTTATTCCCACATTTGTTCCTTCCATCTCCATCCTTCCAACTTGATTTATATAAGGGAGTATTTCTTCAGGCACAGAACACATCCTCCTGACCTATGAAAGAGAAAAAGAATGGAAAGACAGCTCATGTTTTTTGGGGTATTAGTAGACTTTTTTCCAAAGACCTTTATCAGTAGTTTCAACACATAATGTCATGGTAACCTGGTTTGGTATGTGGCAGATGCTCAGATGTGTCCATCTGTCGTGACCTCTAGAGTACTCCGCCTCTACTTCTACTCTCTGAAGTGATTCTTCTTTTGTGTGTGTGCTGGTGTCATGCAAAGCTGTGGTATCTGACACCGTCATTTTACAGATGTACTGTATTTTCCAGCTGCTAATCTTAGATGTGGAAATAATGATCTTCAGCTTCATTTCCCCCCTCTATTAGAGTTGAATCCTGTAATTTTGCTCATTAGATTTGCAAATGAAGGTTATCTTATACTGTTTAGCTTGGTTAACCGTTAACCGTGGGTGGTGATGCACCTCCTGTCACGCTGATGAGAAGCAGCCCCTGCCTGCCAACCTTCACCAAGGCCTCCTGCTGAAGGAGAGGTTGTGTGGGAAAGGAACTGGAAATCAATGGGAAGAGGGCTGCAGGATCCAGGGCACTTCTCTTGAATGTCTCAGTTTTTCCTGATTCTTGAGCACTTAAACATCAGCCTCTCATAATAGTGAAGGAATTCAGAATATGCCACCCCAAAATATGCTGCTTTGGCATATTGATTATTTTGAGCTGAAGGAAATTGAGAAACAGCAGATGCAGAAAGGGATCTCTGCCCTCCTTTCCACCTAAAAGCAGGTGATCAAATTTATCATGGAAAGGATGCCTTCCCTGTATCAAGAGAAAAGAACGTTCTTATTTTCAGAGACTTGGAATCAACACAGAAATGGACATGCACAAACAAACTTACTAAAATAATCCATATCTTGCATTAGTTTCCCCCATATATTTCCTAGTCACTGTCCCACAATTTATTGCCCCTTATTCAAGCTCCTTGCCTCGTCATATCCCCACAATTTGTCATTCTTTTTGTAAAAAGGTATAGAAGCTTTTGGGCCTAACAGCTTCTTTGGGCTGTTGTTTTCTTTTTAAAGACTCCTGTGTAAATGCGAAAATATGAAGTCTGTATGCTTTTCTCCTGTTAATCTGTCTTATGTCCGTTTCATTCTTAGGCCAGCTACAGATCTAAGAGGGTAGAAGAATGTTTTTCCTAACCTACAATAGCAACAATAATAAGAGTACGCCTTGACAGGATGCTTCACAGATTACAAAGCACTCCCATAAACATTATCTCATTTAATAAGCATGATAGCCCCGTGAGATAGGTTATATTATCCTTATTTTCCACGTTGGGGAATGAAGTCTATTAAGTAGGAAATACTTGGCTTAAACAAGGTTTTCCAACTAGACATCCAACGTAATTTCACCAGGCCAGAGCCTGCATCACCCAGCGTAAAGGAATGTGATGGGAACAGGAGCCACATGGCTCAGACATTCATGTCTTCCCACTCCATCTACAGGCACATGCCACTATACCCGGCTAACATTATCTTTTTCTCTTTTTGTAAAGACAAGGTCTTGCTTCGTTGCCCAAGCTGGTGTCAAACTCCTGGCCTCAAGTGATTCTCATGCCATGGCCTCCTAACGTGCTGGAATTACAGGCATAAGCCACCATGCCTGACTTAACTTGTTACTTCTCTAACCTCCTCCTATATCCTTCTCAGTCCTTCTACTCCAGTCACAGGGATGCTTGCTGTTTCTCAAACACACCACCCACATTCTGGAGGCAGAACCTTTGTGCTTGCTGGAATCATTCTCTCCAGGTAGATTCACGGTTCCTTCCTTGTGTCCCTTTAGGTCTCTGTTCAAACATGACCTCATCAGAGACACCGTGTCTGGGCACCCTGCACATTCAGCACCCCTCATTATTCTGTCTCTTTCACCACAGTGCACCAAGGATTCATGGAGTGTGCCCCAGGTACAGACCAACAATAATAAAACATTCAGACTAATATTCAGGCTACTTTTTATTATCACTATGCAGCAGGAATTCTAAACAACATCAGTGATGGAATACTCTTCCCCAAGGAAAAAAACAAAAACAAATTTTCTATTGGTCTAAGTTCTAAACAGTTGCCACAGTCACTTTTGAGCTTTAAACATGAATATGCACATTTTAAATTAGCACATTTTATTGCTTAACCCTTAAGAAAAATGATGGCATTCTACTTGGAAGTTAATTCAGGGAACTTTAGCTATACAGCTGGCCCTGACACAAGTGGACATGACTATACATGTTTGTTTCAAAAGTAAATTTGTTATAGTTGAGAGTCATTCAAGTTTTGGGTACAGTTGGCAGGCTCAAGCCCCATGGTATGACATATCCCTATGTAAGGATCAACTGTAGGCAAATATAAATTGACAAATCTTGCTATGCTCTGAATTTAACATGAACACGCAAGAAGGAACAAGCCATTGATAGAGCCAATGACAAATTTGAAGAAGGCTTAAAAACAGAAACTACAGTATTATTCATGCCTGTGACAGAGCAATATATAGATATGTTTTTCTTTTTTAAAAAAATTAATGCTTTAAAAATTTAATCAATTTTTTCCTTTTTGATCTCTTATTTATTTATTAATTATTATTATTATTTTTTGACACGGAGTTTTGCTCTTGTTGCCCAGGCTGGAGTGCAATGGCACAATCTCGGCTCACTGCAACCTCTGTCTCCTGGGTTCAAGCCATTCTCCTGCTTCAGCCTCCCAAGTAGCTGAGATTACAGGTGCCTGCCACCAGGCCCAGCTAATTTTTTTTTGTATTTTTAGTAGAGACAGGATTTCACTATGCTGGCCAGGCTGGTCTCAAACTCCTGACCTCAGGTGATCCACCCATCTCAGCCTCCCAAAGTGCTGGGATTACAGGCATGAGGAACCGCACCTGGCCTTTATTTATTTATTCTTTTTTTATTATTAATTTTTTTACTGGCATGATAATAAATATGAAGTCCAACAAAACAAAATTTTCACTGTCTGCTTTTCTTTTCTGGCCATTATTAATATGTGCTCTGTATTACCGAAACGGGAAAGGTTCCCTCGTCCCCCTCACAGGGTGTGTGACGGGGGAGTGCCTCGCTTCTTCAATGCCCCGCTGCTCAAACCTCTAAGGGAGAATGGAGATGGGAAGGCTATATAGAGCTCCGACCCCAGGGCAGTGTCTAGGAGTGATTGTTTACAGCTTCTGAAGCCCCAGCGGGCATGTGTTATAGGGTGCTCTTTTAGTTTCCCGTCTATAGGTGACTTGTGTTCATCAGCTCAATTCGACCCCCTTCGTTATCACAAGGACAGAGGGATTTCTGTATCCCGGGGTTTCTGTATCCCGGGGTTTCTTGCCTTGGTGCACCAGAAGAATTGGATCACACGTGGACTTGGAGAATGAGAGCAAGGTTTTATTGAGTGGAAGTGGCTCTCAGCAAATGGGGGATCCAGAAGGGAGACGGTTCTCCCCCGGAGTTGGGCCGCTCATCAACGAGGCTCTCCTCCAACTGCCCCAGCCAAACTCCGTATTGTTCTGCGGATCGGGGTGCCTGCTGGATTGCCTGTGCCAGTGCATTCCACTTGACACCCAGCCGCCTGTGTGTGCCTCCGCCCATGTGCTCCTGTGGACGTCTAGCCACTTCTGTGTCTGCCTGCTAGGTCTGGGAGGTTTCTATAGGCACAGGATGGGGGCATGGCAGGCCAGGGTAGTTTTGGGAAATGCAACATTTGAGCACCAAGACAGGAGTACCGTCCTCACCTAGGTCCTTGGGGGTAGAGGCCCAGCCAGGGACCACCCTCTTCCCTTCCCAGCACTCCGGTATCATTACTTATCTGTGTAATAATAGTGCTACAAACTTACTAGCCTGAAGGAATACACATTTATTATTTCTGTTTCTGTGGGTCAGGAGGACTTCCAGTTCCAAAATGGCAGCATAGAAGCATGCTGACTTCACTCCCTCCACAATAAACCAAAACCAAATGTACAATGTCAAGATTATCACCAGAAATATTCCAGAACTCATATATGAAAAAGAGTTCCCAGGGCCACAAAGAAGTGAAAAACTCTAAGCAGATGGTAAGAGAATTGGACTTCTGAGAGGTGACAATGTGCTAGCAGCCCTTGCTAGCTCTCGGGGCCTCCTCGGCCTCGGCGTCCGCTCTGGCCGTGCTTGAAGAGCCCTTCAGCCCACCACTGCGCTGTGGGGTCCCCTTTCTGGGGCTGGCGGAGGCTGGAGCCGGCTCCCTCTGCTCCAGGGAGGTGTGGAGGGAGAGGCGCAGACGAGAGCTGGGGCTGCGCGGTGCTTGCAGTCCGGCATGGGTTCTGGGTGGGCACGGGCTCGGAGGGCCCCGCACTCCGGGCAGCAGGCTGGTGCCTGCTGGGCTTGATCAGAGGCTGGGTCCCCTGCTTGGATCGCCATTCCCTCTTCACCGAGTTGTTGGCAACGATGGCGGGTCTCTGTCTCTTTCTGGCTTCCCCTTTTCCTCTTGGTTGTCTGGGACGAGCTCCTTCTGGGTTGCCGGAGTGTCCAGGATAGGTGCCGCAAAGTCAAGCCAGTGCCAGTGAAAGGTGAAGCCTGCTGGGCTTCTGGGATGGGTGGGGACTTGGAGAACTTTTGTGTCTAGCTAAAGGATTGTAAATGCACCAATCAGCACTCTGTGTCTAGCTAAAGGTTTATAAACACACCAATCAGTGCTCTGTGTCTAGCTAATTGGGTGGGGACTTGGAGAACTTTTGTGTCTAGCTAAAGGACTGTAAACGCACCAATCAGCACAATCAGCACTCTGTGTCTAGCTAAAGGTTTGTAAACGCACCAATCAGCACTCTGTCAAAATGGACCAATCAGCTCTCTGTAAAATGGAACAACCAGCAGGATGTGGGTGGGGCCATACAAGGGAATAAAAGCAGGTCACCCAAGCCAGCAGCCACAACGCGGGTACCGTTGCACGCTGTGGAGGGTTTAGCTCTTTGCAATAAATCTTGCTGCTGCTCACTCTTTGGGTTGGCACTGCCTTTATGAACTGTAACACTAACCACGAAGGTCTGCAGCTTCACTCCTGAAGCCAGCGAGACCACGAACTCACCAGGAGGGACGAACAATTCCAGATGGGAGGAACAAACAACTCCGGACACGCCACCTTTATGAACTGTAACACTCACCGCGAAGGTCTGCAGCTTCACTCCTGAGGCCAGCAAGACCATGAACCCACCGGGAGGAAGGAATAACTCCAGACGCATCGCCTTTAAGAGCTGTAACACTCACCACAAAGGGATGCAGCTTCACTCCTGATGTCAGCCACGAACCCACCAGAAGGAAGAAACTCCGGACCCATCTGAACATCTGAAGGAACAAACTCCGGACACACCATCTTTAAGAACTGCAACACTCACTGCGAGGATCCGCGGCTTCATTCTTGAAGTAAGCGAGTCCAAGAACCCACCAATTCTGGACACACTTCCACATTTGTGACGTCTCTCCCCTCATTCTGACTGGTATCAAGCACAAGAAATAATTTCCCCCAACTCAGTTTCTCACTGGAAAAAATGAGGTTGAGGTGGATAACCAACTTCATCATCCTGGGTTCCATGGCAAGAGACCCATCCCTACCTTAGAGCCACAGGAAGCACTGTGAGTGCCTGAAAAGAGAAATATCCCTGAGAACAGTCAGAACCGGTGGGGAGGGAAGACTACCATCCCCTGCCCTGGGAACTGCTTTGTAAATCAGCCAAACAAGACACCAAATCAGAGTGACTGTTCAGCAGCACCATACTGCAGAAGGTTTGTTCCACAGGTCTCCTGGGGACGAACTTCTAGCCAACCTTCCTACACTGCCAGGATATCCCCTTAGGGACCTCTGCCACTCAGAAAGGGCATGCTCTGATCATTTACTAGAGCTGAGGTGAACCTGGCGTAAAGACGCCACCTAGAGCTGAAAAGAAGACAGTCCATAGCAATAAAGAACCTTTAAGCAATTGTAGCCAATAAAAATCAAAACAAGCCAGACAGAGAAGACTGGAATAAATAATTAATCCTTCAATGTAAAGACATAGACATACATCCACAAGAAACAACAGCAAACAGGAAACCAAGGTCTCCCCAAATGGACAAAACAAGAAACCAGTGACTGACCCTAAACGGCAGTTTTAAGGAAACTCAGTGATCGCCAAGATAACACGGAAAACAAATTTCAGAAATTTATCAGAGCAATTTAACAAAGAAATCTAAATAATTTAGAAAAACAAAAATTTTGGAACTTAGAAAAATATTTGGTGAACTGAAAAATTCATTAGAGGCTCTCAATAGCAGAGAAGACAGGCTATTTGAAAACATATAGTAAGAGGAGAAAAAAGAAAAAAAAGAATGAAAAGGAATGATGATTGCCTATAAAATTAACTCAAAAGACCACATCTAAAAATTATTGGTGTTTAAGAGAAAGTCGAGCAAGGGGAAGGGGTAGAAAGTTTAATCAAAGAAATAATAACATAAAACTTTCCAAACTTGAGAAAAATATAAATATCCAGGTACTGGAAGGTCAGAGAACACAAAATAAGATTTG